>NC_000007.14:85234051-85537082 GCF_000001405.40 Homo sapiens | reverse complement strand
TATAGGCATAATTTGCCTCACAAATCTTGACTTTTGCTCCGTTTGACTGGCTTGAGGCACATGCCTATTTCTAAATTAATCACTCTCTCTAGGTTATTTCATATGCTGATTACCCTAGAACAGGTAAGATACCTCAGTTTTATATGAATAGTGTCATTTCCCCCAAAACCTCATGGATTCACAAATGAAAATAAGAGATTTTCGAGAAAGAAAAGGAGAGCATTCACACAGGGGAACAGATAACAAAACTATACACTATATATTTTTTTCATTTTATTGAAGCCAGAGGAACTATAATGTTGTGGTGAGAAATGGATTAATGGGCTGGGCTTCTCTGACACTTCTTATGTGACTTTTCACATTGTTATACTTAGAGTTTTAAAATGACAGAAGGATTTGATCTACCTATTGAATTTGAGAAAATTTCTCAGGGTTTTACAACTGTGAAGAGTTCTCATAATGATCCTAATTTGTACATGGGCACAATGACTTAAATGGTTGTGCTTAGGACTGGTTCTTACAACATCATCTACCTCAACTACACACAGCACATGGTTTAGATATAAGTGCTTTCACATCTCTAGTACAATTATTCCCCCAGAAATTTATTTACATTGTAAAAATATTTGACATTTTTTACCACTAACCGGTTCAAAATCATTGCAAAATGCCACATAAATATTATTCTTTTTGTTTCTCAGAGTCTAAATTTTGTAGAACAACTAATAAATATCTGAATTATGAGTTTCAGGTTTTTAAAAAATTATTAGTATTTATGTTGCAAATTAGTTAAAGAACTTTTTAGGAGGACAGGAAGTTAAATATTGGGATATCAACTTTTTTAAACACTAGAAGCAGACACTGTGGGAGATTGCCCTAGATAGCTACCATTACAGAGGGAGAGCACCTAGCCAGTGCCTGGTAAAGCAAGAGCAGTCTGTGCATACAGCTTAGTAGTAGCTTTGGCTCTTATTTTGAAATACAACCATCTCACCTGGGATTCAAACATTTATAACTGATCTACTGACTGTAAGTATCTGAGTTCTTGCTGCCACACTCTAAATAGGTCGCCTTCACTCTCTATTCCTCTCGCTGTTATCTTTCACTTGGTTTATTTTCCAGACTTTTATAGGGTGTTGAATCATATCAAATTTTTTTCTGTCTCCATTCAGAAGATCATGTATAATTCTTCTTGAAGAACAAATGACACCAACATGATCATGATGATATTTTTATTACTCCTAATCAAATACATATTTATGTTGATTGCATGTATCAACTAAACACTCTTTGGCTCTTCAGTTTATGAACATTTTATATTCCATAAAATGGAAAAGCACTTTTAACACAGTAATTGATCACCTATATTTGCATAATAATTTTGAAAGATTTTAAAACCAGTTTAAAAATGTATTAAGTTGATTAGGTAAGTTGATTCTTTGTGGCAAATTGGCTTTTATTAAATTGGCTTTCTGCAAATTTATCTACAAAAATGTCTATTTCTCACATGAAACTATTTTTTAATTCAGTTACATGTGTACCATGACTTGCTTTTGTGAAGACAACTTTATATGCAAGGACTCAAAGATCTTCCATTAAGAATCTTGGGGGGGTGTGTGTGTGTGTGTGGGTGTGTGAGAGACAAGGTCTCACTCTGTTGCCCAGGCTGGAGTGGAGTGGTGCAATCAAGGCTCACTGCAGCCTTGACCTCCCAGGCTCAATCTTTCCACCCACCTCAGCCTCTGGAGTGGCTGGGACCACAGGCATGCACCACCGTGCCTGGACTTTTTAAATTGTTTTTATTTTTTGTAGAGATGCGGTCTCCCTATGTTGTGATTCTCCTTTCTCAGCCTCCCAGTGTGCTGGGATTACAGGCATGAACAACTTCAGCAGGCCAAGAGTCATTAAACTTGTGTGAAAACATGTGATATCTGAAAAATTGCAGGTACTGCTAAACTTATTAAACTTTGTTGACTACTTTGTAAGTGAAGAGAGTGCTCAGTTTTCTTAGAAATTAGTGAAATAAGTATACAGTTTTTGCCCATACAGTTTCATGAACCCTCTGAAATCTATTCACAGATCCAAGGTTACAATTCTGGGAGCCTTACTCTAGAATGTTGGTCCACCCTGATTTCTATATCTTGGTCTCCATAACTTTTATGTGGTGAGCAAGAACCTATGTTGGACCTTTATGTTTCATTGCCTTAAGCAGAATGCCATTTCTCAGATAGTGGATGATTTCTGAGGAGAAAAGAGTCTTATACTGTACAATAGTAGAGTTCTTGGAAACAAAAGGCCCCATCTGCTGGAAACTTGCCAGATAAGAAACCATGAATTAGAAGTAGGGTTCTGCGAGGCGAAAAAAAAAAAAAAAATATATATATATATATATATATATATATATATATATATATGAAAACCAACCTTAAAGGATAAATTTGATTTCCTGAGCAGTCTTGGTCATTATGATCCAAGGAGTATTTGTGAAAGGAAGCCTGAGAGCAGACATAGTAATCTGGCAACCTGGTCAGGTTGGGGCTCAGCCCTTGTATTTAAACACTAAAATCAAATTGTCTTTCTCCTTACTAATAATTGGTAAGACGGGGCTTTCCAGTTATGTGATTAAATTTACTCACTTTTTAATTTTTTTAAATTTTAGTCTTTATTAAAGCTGTATACATACATATTTAAAAATATTAAATAACTCTAAAACTAGCTATTATTTACTTTGCTTCTCTAAGCTCAGATATATTTATATGTGGTTTATCTAGGACAAATACCCAGAAAGAGACTTTCTTGCTTATATCAGGATATTTTAGTAATAGATACCTCCAAAGCCAAATTGTAATCTTCAAAAATGTAAAGATCAAGGAAGACAAGAAAACAAGACTGAAGAATTCTTCCAGATTGTAAATGCAGTGTAACTCTGCATTGGATCCTGGACTACAACTTTTTTTTTCCTTATGCTCTAAAGGACATTATTAGCATCATTAGTATGAGTGGTAAAGTAGAAAAAGGCACTCAGGTATTTAGGAGTAATTCAGCAACTTACTCCCATATGATTCAGAATAACAATAGTAATAATGATAAGTATATAAAATAGAGACATGACAAAGCAATATAATAACAGGTTACAATTGGGATAGCCTAAATGAAGGGTAATCAACATGAAGGTCTTTTCACAATTTTTGCAATTTTCCCCTATAATTATAAACTTATTTGAAATTTTAGAAAGTCACTGTTAGTATTAAAGGAAAAAATAAGGAACTAAAAATAATTTATATTATTATTTCTTATAGTTTCCATGTATTGTTTCTTTATAAGTTAATACTATAGGTTACTCAGGATCATATTTTACCGCATTTTGTTTTATGTGTAGCCTTGTTAGTTGAGCTACATCTAACCCAAAAATTGTCCTGGAAATATATTTTTTTCTTTATACCAAGAAATAATTTCAAAATTATTGAAAAGTTACAATAATAATGCAAAGAACATTTTTACTAAACTGTAGGAAAATAAGGTGCAGGCATAATGCATGATAACCCATAGATACTTGAGTACATTTCCTGTAAATGATAAATTCTCTATGTTACCACAATATTACCTGAAAAATTACAAAATAAACACTGAAAAAATGCTGTTATTTAGTCCACAGACTCTTGTCTAATATTTAACGTAGTATTAATATGGATAACATTGTTTTAGCATTAAAACATTTAAATATCTTATAGTCTGCAAACTCTTCTTCTAAACCTGTGAGAGATCTTCATGTAGTTTCCTATTTAAAAAGAGTGTTCTTTTAAATATTACATCTTCTAATGTGTACCTTGGATAATATGCCTTCCTCCTTACTATACCATTCTCGGCTAGATAAAAGGTTTATATGTCCTTAATGCCTACTCTATTTCTGGAGATTGAAGTAAATTGTTGACTCTCCACTAAGGGCTTAGGAAAGAGAATCTGAGCACTTGTATGATTAGTTTGTTCCATTTTTCCTACTTAAAAACTTCATAATTTATGCATTATAATCCAGGAAACCTAAAATAAAAGTGATAGCAAAATGCTATTTTAGAAAACAACAGGTCAGTTGGTTTCTAAATTAATGTTCAAACTCTTAAGAATGAAAAATAATATAACACCAAGATTTGTCACATATTTCCTAATATTTTTAAAGTGTCTCTCTATGTTTCTTTCATTTTTTGGCATATATTGCACTTGTTTCCCTTTTTATAGCAGTCATCTTGGGATTCGAAATGGGGCACTCAAAGTTATATGAAATGCAAAATGTGTTTCTGCATTTGTGATTTTTTTTTGCAGAATATAACCACAAGAATTAATTCCCCATCAGTACTATTTGATTTACACCAAAATACTAAGTCATTATTATAAATTTTTCATTTAAGAATTGCCTTTAAAAATTAGCATGGGGTTTTCAGGATAAAATTAAAGTAAGAAAATATTTAAATGAGGTTATATGCCAAAGAAATGTTTATACTATTGAAACAGAATTAAGGGAGAGAAATTTAGTTCAAAACCTCTGGTATATTTGGTAAGATAATAAAGAGAGGATATAATATCAGTCCTAAAAATGATAGAATAAATGTAACAAAATGAAAATGGCTGGCAGAACACTCAACATATTTTCAATTCTGTTTGTTGAAAGAAAATGGTATTTTAAAAGTTTATTTTTTTCTGGCATTCATATCCAACTTTTGATACAAGAATACTTTTGCCATTGCATATATTTATCAAAGATTTTCAACATCTTTTGTTCTACATGCCATATTTTATATATACCAATCAGGCAATCTAATTGGGTATTTCCAGCGAAATATATCACAGGGGATCCAATGTGACTTCCCCAAAAGAACATCACTGAGAGGCCTAGAGGAAGTATTTGTATTGAGTCTAAAATATCATTCACCCCAGTAAAATATCTCCAGCAAAATCTCCAGATGCTATCTCCAGCAATAAACTTAGTTCTTAATAATATTGGGTAATTAGAGAAAACTATTTTAATTGGGAGGTGTACTTAGATTTCTTTTAACAAAACAATCAACAAATTTTTTGAGACACATTGGCATGATGGGTATTTTTAGATAGTGTTTTAGATATTGGTATTTTTAGATAGTGTTTATAAGAAAGAGTCAATGTTGGTCTAAGAGGAACTTATATCAGAAGAATTCAGTCATTCTTATGCATGTAGCATAATTTGGGGTTATGATGCTTTGCTTATTGCAATTTAACTCACATATATGTGAGATTTTATTATCCAGAAGGTCTTCATATGTACTCTGTGAAAGGTATAAGGCTAAATATAAAAATAGGACCAAATTGCTTTAAATTTAGGTTTTAAAATGTTGCCTTAATTCATTTGTTATACCTTATACTTATTGGAACAAGATTACCTGGTCTAAATTGTGGCTTCTTATACTAGGTTGAGTGATGACCCCAGCACAATATATTCATATTTTAATTCCTGGAACCTATGAATGTTACCTTTTTTGGAATAAAATATCTTTGCAGATGTAAGCAAGTTACGGATTCTGAGATGAGGAGATCATTCTGGATTATTCAGATGGGGAATAAAACCGTGACAAATAGTCCTTTTAAGACAAAAGCAGAAGGATGTTTGAGACCAATACAGAGGAGAAGGCAATATGAAGACAGAGGCTGAGACTGGAGCAGTGTGGGCACAAACCTCTTTCAGCCACCAGAAGCTGGAAGGACAAGGAAATTAATTCTCTCCTAGCACCCCTAGAGGGAATGTAGCACTGCCAGTGCCTTGATTTTGGACTGGTGTTCTGCAGAACTGTGAGAAAATAAATTTCTGTTGTTTATGCCACCAAGTTTGTGGTAATTCGTTATGACAGCAATAGGAAACTAATACACTCCTTCGCTTAGCAGCCAGGAAATCCTGGGTAAGATATTTGTACTGTCTCTTTCCTATTCCCTTCATCTGTAAAATGTGGATAATAATAAAAACGCCATCTCATATGGTTATTGGGGAATTTCATTCTTTAATATAATTTTAAAACTGTGTGCATTCAATACATGTGAACTCCTTTCATCAGTGTGTCTAAGTCAGTTCAGGATTCCATGACAACAGAAATTCATTTCTCTTAGTTCTGGAATCTAGCATAGTGCCAGCTATGCTAGATCAAGGTGCCAGCATAGTCAGTTTCTGGAGAGGTCTCTCTTCCTGGTTTATAGACTGCCACCATCTCACTGTGTCCGTACATGGCTGAGAGAGAGAAAGCACAAGCTCTGGTGTCTCTTCTTACAAAAATACTAACTTTGTAATAGTCTCTTCCTCATGACCTCATCAACCCTAATTACTTCTCTAAAGGCCCTGTCTCCAAATGTAGTCCCACTGGGGATTAGGGCTTCAATATATGAATGTTTCGGGGATATAAACATTCATTTCATATCACAGTGGTTTTCAAACTTTCATTAGTATGAATGATATTATACAGGAAAGCCCAGTATAAGAAGTGAATTTAATTGGGCCTTATCTTATGGAGGTAGGGGTGGGGACTAGAAGTTTAACCTGTTTAATTTTGTTCCTTTGTTCTCAAGCAGTCTCCTATATCACATCTATAGAATGTATAGGACATAGCAGAGAAGTGAAACTTGAATACAGGTGTTTATGGCTAAAAAGCATGTACCTTGCTAACTGTAATAGATAATTAGAATACAAAGAGTCATTAATTCACTCAGTGAATATTTATGAGTTCTTAACATTTATTATTTTGCTGGGAATATAAAGTTAAATGAACAAATGACAGATTACGTAAACATTCCTGTAAGAAATCAGGCTAATCCCTCTGGTAGTGTACAAGGTCTCATTGTCTATCTCAGAGCTTCTAAGTGGCGATAGATTGCTTCAGGAGAGCAAAGACAGGACGTTGGAATGCTGAAACAGCTTCAGACCATGATGTTTTGGGGTCGACTATAAAGCAGGCTATGTAACCCACAGTCGACTCTAAATGACTGAGCACTTGCCAGGAAGCAGAGTTGTTGCCAGGATAAGAGTTGAAGTGTGGTTTAGCCACACTAAGGAAATGCCACAGAAATGAAAAGTCTTGGAAACTATGAAATAAATGAAAGATTGTTATGGAAAGTTTGACTTCCCTTGAAGTGGTACATGGGCTAAATACTTCAGCCTCAGTATAACTGTCTTTGGACCTTCAAGTCTTCCATATGGTGGAAAGTGCCAAAGAAAATCAAGCAATGCTCCTCAGCCCCTAATAGAAAGAGGCTTAAAAAACTGACTTTCTGTTGCAATTAGACAAATGTCTGTTCAATGTTATGGAAACATGTGTACTTAAACAAAATTTCAGGAATAATTCTATCGAATGTTGGCAGGAGACATTTATTCATTTGTACATTTATATGCAAGCTCTTCGAACTCTCCCTCACTTTTGTAATATATTGGATAGACTACTAAACTTTTTAAATACTAATACAGTTACCCAGGTAAAAGAGTAGACTAGAAAATAGAAAAAGTTCTAAAAATCAAATAATAGTGCAATAAAGCTGCATTCAGAGCACAGCCAAACTGTATATTGTTTATCTATTCCTTCATAGTAAATTGCCACATAATGGCTTAAAACCACACCCATTTATTAGCTCATAGTTCTGTAGGTCAGAAATCTGGGCACAGTGTGGCTGGGATCTTGTCCAAGGTCTCACAAGCTAAAATCAACGTGTCAAGCAACTGCATTTTCATCAGGAGGTTGAAGTCCTCTTTCAGTTCACTGTAGCCGTTAGACTGAGGTCCCCGCTTCCTTTCTGGCTTTCAGATGGAATCTCCTACATCTCCCAGAGGCCATGAGACCCCTTCCATCTTCAAACTCAGCAACAGAAAATCTTTATCTAAAATTCCTCTCATACCTCAAATCTCTCTAACTGGGAAAAGCTAGATCCCTTTAAGGGCTAACATGATTCGATCAGTCTCAGGTAGGATATTCTCCCATTGCTAAAGTCAATTTATCTAGGAACTTAATTACATCTGAAAAATTCCTTTATAGCAGCACCCAGGTCAGGGTGTAATTGACTGGGAAAAGATATGTATACTCCAGAGGCTGGAAATTTGGGGAGCACTATCTTAGAGTTCTGACTATCACAATCAGATGTAATAATATTTAGGCATATGAAAATTTAGGCAGCTTTTCTAAAGAGGATGCAGATTGTGAAATTCCAAGATCTTTCTCATATAAATGTCTTGACAGAGTTCACTTTCACAATTCTATGGAGTTGCCTCACATTTTTAACTGAGTTAGGTCTTGATGTACACTTCCCAACTATCCTGACTATCTGATTGATACATCTTGTTAACACATGGCACCATAGATAAGAAAGACACAACGCTAGTCAAGAATGGGACTTCCCTTTAAGATCTGGCCTGACTTACAACATCACTGCCTTGGTCGTGTCCACAGAATTGTTATAATCAGAGAGGGATGCTTAAGTACTGGTAGCAGAAAAACCATGCTGGGTAATGGATTTCATCTGAAGCCAGTAGCGTTTTTTTTTCTAGTTATTCATACTTTGTCCATATTTCTTTGCAAGTCCTAATTTGACTAGGGATTATATGTGGACTACATTTTCATGAGCTAGAATTCCTAGAAGAAATTGTGAAAATGAGAAAAGTAGTGGGCATTACTGCAGTGATGCGACTTGACCCTGTGGATGTGACTAAAATACTTGTGTTAATTTGAGACAACAATGGCTTCATCCCAGGGTTAACATGGTCTGGCTGAAAGCAAACAAGTGAGCAGATGTTACTTAGGTTTCTGGTACATATGTTAAGACCCAATATGTATAGTCAACCAGTTATTACAAAACAAAGGGGTATTTTTCCAATTCATTTTAACTTGAGGTCCTCAGGGCTAGAGCCAAAAGGCTGAACTTCTAGAACTTTAGTTTCTTTTTTTTTGTTGTTTTGAACATGTTTTACTTTTCTTTTTTTTTTTTTATTATACTTTAAGTTTTAGGGTACATGTGCACATTGTGCAGGTTAGTTACATATGTATACATGTGCCATGCTGGTGCACTGCACCCATCTATTCCCCTTTCGGGGAGTAGAAGATGGCTAGAGGGTATACTATCAGATAGAAGTGAGATGTATTATCTGTGTAAGTGAGATTTATACTTACAAAAAAGTATCAGTACCAGAGTGTGTCAATTTCAGAACTATCACAGATTGTTCCAAAGGATGGTATGTCTGCGATCAGAATTATAAGCACTGAAATAAGTTATTTTCAGTGATTATATTGCTTAAGCCTCAAAAATTGATAAAATTTTTATCAACATTTGGGAAATTTAAACTGAGCCATGTGGCTTTCAGCACATTTTGTGAATTTTTTAAACCTCAATCCCACGCTTGTTAAAGGGCTATAAGAGTACCTATTAAGTACTATTAATAGTGCATTATTTGATTAGCATTTTTCTTCATTATTAACTGGCCTGGCAGATTGAAGGTGCTGAATAAATAACTGTTGAATTGATGGATAAATAAATGCATAAGAAAAGCAAGGGAAAATAATTAATTGGTAACCATTTACTGAAGTAGTGCTCATTTAAGGGACAGATTTGTCATGAACAGATTGTGTTTTCACTCTTGAAAATTCCTTGTGTCATTTTCTTACAGTATCTGTAGCATCATTAGCCTTTTCTTAGTACAGCCAGTGTTCTCTTACATCCCCTCAATAAAACATATTCAAAATGTATGTTCTGGCATCAGTAATTTACATCTCAGTCTCAGTCTGAACTGAAGACTTCACACACACACACACACACACACACACACACAGACACACACACACACACTGTACTCTGTCAGTCTTTTCAACTACTGTTGTACCTTGTATGCACATAATGAAATACTCTGTCATTCAGAATTAATTTAGAAATATATGAACAAGTGAAAATTATTTGAAAATTTTTTAAAATTATTTTGAATAATTATTGCTAACTCTTGCTGAACTCTTACTCTAAGGCAGTGTATTAAAGCCTTTAAAGTAAAAACTTATTCAATTTTTACAACCTGTTGGGAAATATTATAACTCCACAATTTTATAAATAAGGAAATTGAAGCATACACAAGTTAATTGTAAATAAATTGAATCAATATAACACAGTCAGTTAAGTCTGTGAACCTGGAGAGCTTGATTTTATTGACCGTTATAATATACTGCCTTTCACATCGAATAGCGTTCAGTAAGAGCAAACATGTATGGTGTTGAAAAGGAAATCTTACTCCCATTGTTGTACTATGTAGTTTCCTTTGCCAGATGCTACCATTGTTGTCAGTTGTTCATATCATTCCAGAGACATCCTATATCCAAACATATACGTAAAATCAAAATGACTGTACATGAGATACTTAGCCCGATTAGGATACAATAGCATACATCCTTCATTTTTATGTAGAAAATATATCCTGGGAATCTGAATATGTTAATTTGCTTAGGACCCATCACAGTATGTAAAATGTGTACTGAACCATGAAACAAAGGAAATCTTTTGCTCTTCTGCTGCACAATTTATTGCCAAGAACTATTAACGGTTTGAGATTTTGAAATAACTTCATACTAACAAGTTGGCTACAGTTTTATAGGTGCCGATAAAAGACACAAAACTCTTGAATCAGAGACGAATAACTTTATTATTCGTGGCTTCATTTTTATGCCTATTTCTTTTGTCCGTAATTCCCAAGGGACCGATGTGGAACAGTCACTGTGGATGCAGCTGACACAGTAGGTTTGCATCACAGCTAGGAACCATCAAGCTGAAGGAGTCTTGATCTTTTTTAATGGGCTTCAAGCAAAGTTGCCTACATTTGGTCTATCTTAGTGGTTATTCTACCTACAAATATTCTTGAAATAATAGTCTAGAGCCATCTGTGTTTGTTTATAAGACAAACACAATTGTTGCAGAACCACAAAGATTCGTCACCCAAATTTGAAAGTTATGGAACTTTGGTACATTTCTTAGGCTTTCTGACTCTCCTTTCTCAATCTGTAAAATTGACTGTACAACAGTCAATCAGTTTAGAGTGCATTGTGAACTGCAAAATACTCTGTAAAAATATTATAATTGCTATTCCTATCATCCTTAAAATCATGTAAAAAAGCACTTTTCTATCATCAGCAAGTACATGATAAATTGGGTGGTTATTAATGTTGGAAATATGCTATATGTTTACTTGGAGCATAGTTCTATTAATAGCTAAGTCTGAGTAATGTATTGCAAACTGGAACACAAATTAGAGTATTTTAAAAATAAATTCAATGAATTACAAGGCAAGTTGTTATTCACAAATAGAAAAAGAAATCTAATTCCTGAAGGGAGAACAGAACATATTTTTTTCATGATAAATGCCTGTGTATTATTAGTATCAGGTCACGTAGTTCATACAAGTTACAATGATATTTTGAAAAAGCTTAACACACATTTGGTGATACAAAGATGACCTTCATGAATAAAAACCACCCCAGCTGATTTTTATTCCTGAATAAAAGAGGTCTTACTAATAACTTTAAAAGTCTGATTTAATGTGAAAAACACGGCTTAATTATTCTAATTAATTAAACTGCAAAAATAAGACACTATTTAATATATTGTTCCACATATTTGGTGAATAAACGTTTATACCTATATCATTTTATTTATTTAGTTATTTAATTTTTTTTTTTTTTTTTTTTGAGACAGAGTCTCCCTCTGTTGCCCAGGCTGGAGTGCAGTGGCGCGATCTCGGCTCACTGCAACCTCCGCCTCCCGGGATCACGCCATTCTCCTGCCTCAGCCTCCAGAGTAGCCGGGATTACAGGTGCCCGCCACCACGCCCAGCTAATTTTTTGTATTTTTAGTAGAAACTCGGTTTCAAGGATGGTCTCGATCTCCTGACATCGTGATCCACCCGCCTCGGCCTCCCAAAGTGCTGGGATTACAGGCATGAGCCACCGCACCCGGCCCTATACGTATATCATCTTTTAACAGAATTATAATTTTTATGTGCCTACATTAATAAACTCAATTTTTAAAGAAAATTATTAATACCATAAGCTTTTCTTAAGTAATGTCATTAAGTTACATGTCTGTCTGGATTTATTTCCCTGTGGAAAAAATTAAAATTAAATTTTATTTGTTCACTTATCAAATGAATGAAGATTTCATTCACTTTCCCTGGTTAATATATAGAGCAGTTAAACTTATTTCTTTTTTCTGCTGACTACTTGATCTTTCAAAACAGATAGTAAAAGGCTTTACCTAATTATAATAAATTCCAGATTTCATAAAATTTCCAGAAGCTCTTTCAAAAATGAAAACTAATTTACAGAAGCATTAGGTTGTACCTCCACTCCCCCAGCCCCACAGGAAGTACTGACAATATTTACATATATTAATTATATGTGGAGTACAAGAAATATGATTAAAATACATCAATGTTGAAAGAACTGTACAGGGAAAGAAAATACATTACTCTCTTCATTTAATTTATGAGCTGATCAGACACCAGGTTAAGTTATGAAGAATAAGAAGCAAAAGCAAAGTCGAAGGGTGTGTGTGTGTATCATCCATGGATCCATGTCAGAGAAAAAGGACTAGAGTAAGTAAATAAAGTTAAAAAATAATGGAGGCTGGATGCAGTGGTGTAAGCCTATAATCCCAGCTCTTTGGGAGGCCGAATCAGGCGGATAGCTTGAGACCAGGAGTTCAAGACCAGCCTGTGCAACAAGGTGAAACCCCATCTGGGCATGGAGGTACAGGCCTGTGATCTCAGCTACTCGGGAGGCTAAGGCACAAGAACCACTTGAGCCTGGGAGGCAGAGGTTGCAGCCAGCCAAGGTCACTCACTGCACTCCAGCTTGGGTGACAGACTGAGATCCCATCTCAAAAACAAAACAAAACAAGCAATACCATTTTTTGGTTTGCTATTTTATTATATTTTATTTGAAAATATACAACATATAAAAACAATATATAAGTACAGTTAAATTATTAGTAATACAATAACTACCTGTATAACAAACATAGATTAAAAAGTATTACTTTGCTGGTACCAAAGAAGGCCCTTGTTTCCTGCTGCCGTAGAATTCAATCATTTTTGAGGAGGTAATCTCACATAACTAACAAAAAAGGTCTTATATCTAGAATATATAAAGAATTCTCAAAACTCAAAAGTAGAAAAACAAACTATCCAATCAGAAAGCAGGCAAAAGACATGACTATGATACGAACACAAAATAAACACATGAAAATATTTCTAACATCTTTGGTCATTAGAGAAATGCAAATGAAAATCACAATGATATATTACTATGTATCTATTTTAAGAGATAAAATAAAACATGGTGATAATATTAAAAGGAGGAGAGGATGCAGAGAAACTAGATGTCTTTTATATCACTGGTGGTAATGTGAAATGGTACGACCGCTCTTGCAGAGTATGGCAGTTTCTTACAAATCTAAACATGGGTTATCTCTTGTGCACTTATCCCAGAGAAATGAAAAGTTGTGTTCACATCAAAAAAATAAAATTAAAAAAACACAAAATTTGTACATGAATGTTCATATCAACTTTATTTTTAATAGAAAAATTCTAACAACAGTCCACATATTCTTTCTTTGGTGAATATATGAATATTCATACATTCCCATACATCCATGCAATGGAATACTATTCATCGATTAAAAGGAATGTACTATAGGATATATCCAACAATCTGAATGGACCTCAAGAGCTTTATGCTTCATGGAAAAAGTCAGTCTCAAAATGTTACATACTGTGTAGTCCTATTTACATAACGTTCTTGAAATCAGAAAAATATAAAAGCAGAGAACATATTAATGGTTGCCAGGTGACAGGATATGTGTGTGGTGATGTCGTGGATACAGATACACAGAGGTAACATGCCAGAGTTGTTTTGTGCTGATGGAACTCTTCTGTATTTTTATTTCGGTGGTGGATATATATCTTTATACATGGTACAAAATTGCACAGAATTGTATATACTCTCAAATAAATGCAGATTTTAAAATGGTGAAAACACTGTAGTTTAGTTAGCAGTAACAAGCCAATTTCCTGAGTTTGTCATATCTCCATTTAGGATAGCTCAGTGAAGAGTAGACAGAATTCTTTGTACTAGTTTTGCAACTTCCTTTCAGTCTATATTTTAAAATAAATCTTTTTAAACGCCATTATAATAGCCTAGAATATTTATTATTGCATGATTTTTTTATTATACTTTAAGTTTTAGGGTACATGTGCACATTGTGCAGGTTAGTTACATATGTATACATGTGCCATGTGTTTGTGTTTGCATGTTTATGAACTTCAGGGGAAGTGACAAACAAATAACATTTACCAAAGTCTGCTATCCCTTTTTACTCTACAGAGAGAGGCTATTGGTAGTGAGTGTGTGTGTGTGTACATGTGCATGTGTGTTCCTGAATGTACATTAATTTATATACACATACAACAATTACTCCACATCTGGCCTTTACCAGAAATATATAAAGACTAGCAATCATTTACTTGTGTTAGAAAAGTAAGTTAACCATATCAGTCTAAAACTTCCAACTCATAAAATTAAATATACTGACTTCCAAAAAGTAAAAGTAAATCCCCTAAATACCTAAGTATATTACGTGGTGTGACTCCATTAAGATATTCTATACCACTTACAAAGTCCTTTTCTTAATTGTCTTTTGGACTTTACAATATATTTTAAAAGAAAAGAAGCTTTTAAAGTCTTTAGAATATCTGAATAGGGATAGTGTTTGAGGAGAGATTAACTATTCACACACTCCAAAGTGTATACATTGGCAGTATAATCTTTTTTTTTTCTGAGAGTAGAATTTTAAAGGAGAAAAATGAGGTCAAGAGGTTTTTAAAGAGTCTAAATAAATAAAAGTTGGTGCAGACGTTTCCACCGTAAGGAGGCTTTTCATGACAGAAGCTCAGTGGGTTGCTTCCATCTTGCTTTGACAGGTTCGGCTGAACAGGTTTGTGGTTTAATAAAATGGTTCAGGTGTCAGGCCACCTAGGTAATTGCTCAGGAACAAAATCCAAAACAGGTTCTAAAATCACTAAAATGTAAATATAGAGAGAATATTATGTTTGCAAGATCATTTTTAGAAGAATTACATGAAGTGGGAAAATTCTTTGATTAAGCAAATGAGTAAAACACAGGAAAGGCATCAAGTATCAACAGAGCAACTTTAAACTGCCTTCTTAAACATAGACCTCATTAACTACAAGATTGTTTTGCCAAGTAGGTTATGATGCTAGAGATAAACTGTCTGAGAACATAGGAAGAGGCTAATCACTCTTCCCAATACACCACTTTCCCTCCTTTTCTGCCATATAGAGGTCAACCTTCTTCTACATGAATATAGAAGAAACACTGAAAACATACTGGTTTCAGGGAGTGCCAGTTTATTAGTCTGCCTGGGGCATCCACATGCCTCTGTCTGGCCCTGGTAGTACACATGGTAAATCTATGTGCGAACATACCCACAAACATATGCAAATACACAAAGAGTATTTTTTCCAACTGAAGAGAATACTGCTGACAAGGCAAAAATTCTCCTGATAATAGTGATTTGGGATTTTATACCCACACTCTCATTGTCCCTTCCTTCTTTGAATCTAACTGCACTCCTGAGTGCTAGTACAGAAATCTGCTGCATGTATATACAGCATATTTATATCAGTTTCGGATTTGGTTTTCTCGTTTATCACTTTGGAAACATGCCACATAGAAAATAGACTCAGTGCTTACATAAGAGAATTCTTTCCAGCCTTCCCCTTTCTCTTAGTGTAAGATTACATTCATTTATTTGCTTTTAAAAATCCCATGTAATTCAGTCCACTGTAAGTTGGCAAAACATTCCAACCATGCAGAACTTAGATAAGTTTCAGGCCCATTGTTGATAGCTAAATTCATTTTTTCTTTACAAAAAAGAGAAAAAGGGACTTGTGTATTAATAATGCAGAATGTTTTATTGAAATGTGCTGTAAATAAATGCTCAAGAAATATTTATATTCTCACTGTCTGGGGTTTTTATTTGTTTTTATAACAATTTATTTTTGGAAAATTACACATATAATTATACGTGTATATTTTATATATTTAATAAAATTATACATATACACACACGCATCTCAGCCAAAGTTGCAACCACAATCAACCTTAAAATGAAAAGATATTTAACTAATTTCAGAGAAAAAAGAGGCTGAGAGTCAGATTTGCCTTCCTGTTTTTTCTACTAACTTGATAATACTCTTCAAAATGAAATGATTTGTTTTCATTTGGCGGTTAAAGTTTAAACAGGTATTTAAAAAATCTCTGATGGAATAACTAGATATCACTAGCCAGTCATTTGTGTATTCACTCATTTCACAAATATTTGTTGCCCAAATTTGAGCACTCTCCTAAATACTGAGTGAAAAAAAGTAGATATTTCCCTCATGAAATGTATAGTTCAGTAAATTAAAAAGGATGTAAATAGATAAATATACATTTATATCTAATTATAAGGTAATATCAGCTACAATGGAATTGCATAATCAATTGGTTCACTTTTACAGTAAGTATGTTGTCTCTTACTTCAAACTCTTCAAATCCCCTTACAACTTGGCATCTCCTGCAGATTCATTTATAGTGAAATAATGTGTTGCTTTACAAGCTAAGAATCCAGCTCACTTGATAGTTTTATTGCAGAACATAAAATTATATAGTGATGTGTTTTGTTTTTGAAAAAGTAGAAAATCTTAGTGTAATACAAGCAATTGTAAGTGCAATAGGCTTTTTTCACTGATGGAAATTAGCCCCATTTCTCCACAATGCTCTTTGTGCCAACATAATCTAGTATAAAATAGTAATAAAGAATCATTTTTTTCTTGCTTATAAATTCTGGCAGTACAGTATACACATTTTAAAAAACAGAGTGTCATTAAATAGAACATTATTCATTATTCTTTAATAAATAAAGGCAGTAACATGTCACACAAATGTTTGAGCTTCAAAAATATGCAGTCATGTATCTCTAGCTCAATATGTGAGCCACAGTTTCATTAAATACTGACTACTTAATTTTTCTTTTCTGCTGAGGCAAATTAATGCACTAAGATCATATGAATTACATATAGCCTGTAGATGTCAAATGGTATCTCTGGATAATTGTTTGGGCTTATTTTTTTTTTTTTAAATTTACTATGTGTAGTAAAATCAATAATACATTTCACTGCATTGTATCTAAATTATTTTGTCTAATCACATGTATATTATTTTGCCAAATTTATAAAAGTTAGCTTAATTTTAGGAACAATTTTCCAAATATGGTTTCAAAATTGTAACACAAGTACTCCTGGGTCCATGACATTCTGGATTCTTTTGGCAAATATGGCTACAGATCCTTGATTAGATTTGAGCCTAAACATACCTACTCCAGTGAAGCTCTAAGTCTTTATTTCCATTAAATAGATGTGCTTGAAAAATGCAAATATGACCTAAATTCAACCATGTACTTCCCTTTTAAACACTATGAATAAATATTGTCAATCAATTGGTAGCTACTTTTAATACCTCAATGGTATTTTTGTTAGATATTTTATTTTTAGCAGAACAACGTGTGAAGCAGCTGAAGTCTAGTGATATTAACAGAATTTATCCATATCTCCTTAGTAGTAAACTGGTTATGCAGCCAGATCCAAATCAAATACTCCCGGACACTAGCTTATTGTAGTTCTTTCCACTATGCTGCAAAACATTATTAGGAATAAACATTCTTAAGAATTGTGCCGGCCGGGCGCGGTGGCTCACTCCTGTAATCCCAGCACTTTGGGAGGCCAAGGCGGGAGGGTCACGAGGTCAGGAGATCAAGACCATCCTGGCTAACACGGTGAAACCCCGTCTCTACTAAAAATACAAAAAAATTAGCCAGGCGTGGTGTTGGGCCCCTGTAGTCCCAGCTACTGGGGAGGCTGACGCAGGAGAATGGCGTGAACCCGGGAGGCGGAGCTTGCAGTGAGCTGAGATCGCGCCACTGGACTCCAGCCTGCGTGAAAGAGCGAGACTCCATCTCAAACAAACAAACAAACAAACAAACAAACAAAAATTGTGCCGTTTATGGTCTATGCCATTGAGGTACTTACATTCTAAAGAAGCATGTAACCTCTATACCACATATTTTGTACCAAAATTTTATATCACATGCTTAGCCATTGGATTTGGCATAGTGTTTTGTTGTTGTTGTTGTTCCCTTGTAATATAAATTACTCAGTTTCCTTCCTTCTTCTATCCTTTCTCCTGCTTTTCTTCCTCCTTCTATCTCTGTCTGCCTCCCTCCTTCCTTCTCCCCGAACTTTCTCCCTCATTCTGTCTCTCTCTCTTCCTCTCCCTTCTCATGTTCTTTTTCAAATACCAACTACAAATATCACACATATAGCACAGGCAAATGATAAGTTACTTTGATTTTTTAAATAATTTTCTATCATCTTATAAAGAATTATAGTTTTGCTTTTTCTTAAAAGGAAGTTATTCCATTTGTAATTTCTTCCAGAAGGGAATATATGCAACTGTTTTCTTGCTGCCAAGGTGGCCCATCCAAACATTTCTACTCCAAATGGAACAAATTGTATATTCAAAAATATGAGTAAAATTCTGAAATAAAGATTAATTATTTTTGTGCCATCCCTTGTGGATAGATTATTTTGCTTAGAAATCATATTTAATTTTTCTATAAATAATTTAGATATGTAACTCCTGCTAGAGTTGGAAAGCTATCTTATTTGTTCATTGTTTAAATATAAAATATTCTAAGTGTTCCCCCGAAATTAGAATTTGTTGGTTTTTTTCTAGTAGTTGAGTTTGAAATTTGGATTCTATCTTTATTTTACTTTCTAAAAGAAAGTATGTTCACTTTTGATTTACTGTGAAATTTTTTTATAATATGAGCATAAAGGTTTATATTTTCTAAAATTCAATCTGATTAATAGTAAACTCTTAAAATGTCTTTGCATGATAGATCATTTTAAAAACATTTCAAAAAAAAAAAGAAATCTTTAGAGGAAACTGACCTCAAGTATACCGTGGATCTTCTGTTTAATGGAGAATGATATCATGACAAAAAATGAAGCAAAAGAGAATCAGAAAGAAAACATAAATATTTTCTATGCAAAACCTAAAAGAATATTTATTATCTTAAGATGCTTTACTTGCTTTTTCAAGGGCAGAGATATGACTACAAGAATATTCATATGGGCTTCTCAGATTTTTAGTGTTACATTATCCTTAATATTTTTGGTTGATTGTTCATGCATAACTAATTTACTTTGAAAAAGAAAGTATCTTATGACCTATACTAGTTTATTAAATCATATATTTTAAATCGTATATTTTAAAGTATATGTTAAATTATTGACACATTTATTAAATTGTATCTGCTTTTTTCTGTTAATCAAATGTAAATTACTTGTGAATAGTCTCTTATTCTTTTAGGTACTTTATTTTGTATACATATGAGACTGATAAGTACAAAAAAGATATTTAATAAACTACTTATTTTTAATATATGTTTATTTAGAAACTTCCAGAAATTTTATTAGGAAATAATAAAGAACTAATGACAAGCCAGATAGGGATGGCGTCTCTATCTCATAAATATATAATATCATTCTAGTAAGTTGAAATCGACTTGGGAGTCCACCCAGATTTACATCATACTTATTTCAGTGAAAATAGACGTTTAATAATGATATGGTTCAGCATTTATTTTATAAAGATATCATTCAGCGATATAGTTTGATTCATGAACTCATTTTTTAAAGAACTAAAATATTTAATCTAATATGAATTTAAAACTTCAACTTTATATCTAGTAAAAACAAATTTGATTCCTTCAGTCCAAGTCTGACTCCTGTTTATAGACACCCTCCTATAAGAAAAGGAGGGACATAAAATTGTCTCTCACTCTTCTAGACTCAGGCCCCCATGCCCCACTCTACTTCCAGAGTCAGAGCAAAAATAAGGAGAATCTGGAGACCTAGAGATTCAGATATTTTTACTTATGCTGCTCTGGTCTCCTAGTTAACATTACCTAGCTACTCTGTGTTCTACTAAAAGAAGTGTCCAAATACTAACTCTTATATAGTAAATGTTTAGGTCCTTATAAGGCCATCAAGGATTTCCTCACTGCTGTCTTTTCTAACATGGATGTGTCATTCCTTGGCTCAGTTCTTGAAACTACTCACTTTCTGTCCCTAGCAGAACTACGGCCTCTAATGCTAAAGTCTTTGCAGTTCAACAGAAACCTTCTTAGATAAATATGGCTTGAAATGACCTTTTTGTTTTCACTTGGCTCCATGGAATACTCATTCATCCTTGCCACGCCAGAAGATGGCTGTGAAGGTTGCTGCTGCCAGTGCCCTTTCTCTTTGCCATGCTGTTAGACGCAGCTCCAAGCAACCTCTATTTAAAGAACTTCTCAGGTAGAAAGCAGCCAGCAGTCTCTGTATTCTTGGTTAGCTCAATGTTTTTATGGAATGCATGTCCATTTTGCCAAAAAGACCTTTCATAGCATTTGTCTCTGGTTTCTGTACTAAGGCAGGCAGTAAGATAAGAGTGTTCCCTTCTTGAAAGCCCATACTTATAAGAAATTCTCTTGTACCATACCTTTTGACTTTATGCAACTGTAGAATATACTCCTACAACCTCATGGGGAGAGAAGAAATCTAAAACACTCTTACTGTGATAAAATGATCTCCTAATTTCTAGTCTTCTTTGACATAGTTTGAATTTGAATTGGAGGTTGATGATAGGCACACTAGTACTGCTATCTAATATGTTCTGAATGGGTGAGTTTAGTAGACGTCAAGCAGTTATCAGCTATTATTCTCAGTTGCAGGAATTTGTATAAGATTTTTAGACAACAGGATATACCCTGTTAAATGTCTTGTTACTTATAGTTGATACAAATATTATAACCACCATGTAGCCCCTCTGGAAAGTGTCATTTATACTGGAGTCCATGTAAACGGTGCTCTGTGAGGTTGTACAATATGGCAACTCTTTAAAAGCTCCAAAGAGTTGAGGAATTTGGCCATTCAAAATTATATAGCTGCTAGATTTTACATGAAGAGGTTTGTCTCTAAAGCCATGCACATTTTCTCTAAAGCTCTGAGTAAAACAAAACAAGAAGTTGATCAATATGATGTTATAATCTAGATAGAAGTAATATTTACAGGAATTTTTCAGAATCCCTCTGTAATTACACACAATCATATTGGGGTTATAGTATGGAGTTCAGAATGGTAGCATATAAAATTGATTGAACTGGAAATTGCAATCAACTCCAAAAGAGGCTAAAGTGCTAAAGTTATAATAATGTATTTTGGAAGTTCTAGGATTTGGGGTGAGGAGAAATGGAGGGTGAAAGCACAGCCAGTAGCATACTATAAATATAAACTTGGGTTGAGCAAATAGAAACAAAAAGTAAATTTCAGGAAAAGTTACATTCAAAAAGGAAGAGTGGTCAAAACATTGTGCCAAAGTGTAGTTATTTTCATACCAGTTATTTGAAATTCTGGCAGAAAATATTATTGCCCAACCATGTTCTTCTTGCCTGCTGTCCAAAAACAGCTGATACACTGAGAACAGCAGGTGTTGCATCAAAGAAAGAGTCTAATTATCACAAGGCAGCTGAGAGAGGAAGATGGGAGAAATTTCTCAAGACTGCCTCCCGAAGAACTCAGAGGCTAAGGCTTTTAAGGATAATTTGCTGGGCAAGAGGGTAGGGAATGGAGGCTGCTGATTGCTTAGGAATGAAACTATAGGGGTATAGAAACTATCTTCATACTCTGAGGCAGTTTCTGGGTGGAGGTTGCAGGACAAGTTGAGTCAGTTCCTTGGTATGGGTCGTGAGTTCAGTGGGCATCAGTTGGTCCACAAGAATGCAAACTGAAAAATATCTTAAAAGACTAGTCCTGAGGTTCATAATAGAGGTATTATCTACAGGAGCAATTTTGGGAAGTTATAAGTCTTCTGGACCCCAGTTATATGACTCTCTTAGCAGTAAGTAAACAATTATAGAAAAGCAAGCTAAGGAACAATGGCTAGTTACCATTTAACTTCTGTCTATGTCTTAACAGATTTCAGGCCTTTACCACAATTCTAACCTTGTGGCCTTT
This sequence comes from Homo sapiens, assembly GCF_000001405.40. NCBI lineage: Eukaryota > Metazoa > Chordata > Mammalia > Primates > Hominidae > Homo > Homo sapiens. The sequence goes on along the minus strand of NC_000007.14, from coordinate 85,514,881 downwards.
CATTAATGCTATAGTTTTTGTCTCTGAGTGAGGAGGAAGTTAGTCTAGGGGAAGGGCTGTTACCATATTTGTTTTAAACTATAGACTAAATTCCTTCCATAGTTAACTTGGCCTACTTGCAAGAATAAGAAAGGGTAGTTAGCTTTAGAAGCAAGATGGACTCAGTGATATTATCTCCCTCTTATTGCTATAATCTTTGCAAAGACAGTTTCAGAAATTGTTTTATGTGTACGCTGAATAGAGAAGAGTGTGTAAAAGAATGATAGTAGAAAGTTGAAAAGATGATCTGGACCCAGAAAGTTCTGGATCCAAAAATTTAGAAGTATGAATCAGATTCTGATATTCATCATTTATGCCACAGCAAGAAAAGAGAACCCTGGATTGGGAATTAGTAATCAAAAAGTGCAGAGAGGGTCAAGGTGAAGAAAGAACAGAACAGAATATATCACATTTAGCAGGGGATGGCAATTACACTGTCTTTACTGATTTAGACAAGACCACTTGGGGAATTCTGGTATCAAATTCACCACGTAATGTTCTTGAATGTCATCTCATCTATCCTTGCAGCAAAAAATAGTTGGAAAAACTTAGAATCAGTTACTTTTTTTGGGTCCATCAAAAAATCAACTTTAAGGACAAACTAATACTCGAAAAGCTGGAGAAACAAATTCATCCAGGGAGATAGAGCAACTAAGGTCTACTTTATTTAGAACAGCCATTGAAGCCATAACTGCTGGGAACATTTAAATACTAATTTTGATTTACTTGAGGTTGAGTGTGAGCTAGCACAAAAATGAGAAAACTCTTGGAGGCTGTAGTCTTAGGAAGACCTCCCACATTTTCATCCTTTCCTCTAGAAACCTCACCAGGTTTTCTTTGTTAGGATCTCTGAAGAATTCTCTCTTCCTTGTGTGGAGGTAGGAATGAAGATGCTCAGTGCATTGGGGAATAGGCATATCCAGAGCCTTCTCTGTAAAAATGTCTATTCTTTAGGAGAAAATACTTTGCCAATGGATAATTCTGAACCTTTATAACAGCTGGGGATAGGTAATCCCTCGGAACTGTAGTTCCCTCCACCTTTTTTATCTCATCTAAGGGAGGGGGAGTATGATAAATAATGTTTAAGGGACTAAAGTTACAAACAAAATGCTGTAAACAGGAAGAGGATGGGGAATAAGGGGGAATTATCGGGCAGGGAATTTAAAATAACTATGGTTAATATAGGTTCTAATGAAATGAAGAGACAAAGTGAAAGTACACATGGGTGATATAAGGAGAGAGATGACAACTATAAAAGAATCAGAAGGAAATTCTAGAAGTACAAAACATAATAATAGAAATAAAATATGTCTTCAAAGGATTAATCTCTAAATTTGACACAGCTGAAGTGAACTGGAAGCCAGATCAAGAAAAATTTTCAACTGAAATGCCAAAAGAAAAAAATGCAAAAAGAAATATATTTCTATCTATATATATATTTCTATCTAGATAGATAGATAGATAGGTAGTCTTGGGGAGGGGCTATCATATTTGTTTTAAGTATGATAACATTTTAAAATATGATGTCACAGTCCTGAGACACAAACCCATTTAAAGAATAAAGTTTAGTTGTATGACTGTACAACATTTACCTTCTCTTACAACTTAACACCAGGGTTGTGGTGCAGTAATAAAGATAACAGGTAAAGAGGTGTAAGACACAGACACTATCTAAGAAGGAGTACTTCCAGAAGCCCAAGGTCAAGAGAGGAGAGAAATCAAGGATACTAAAAGACATGGAAGCTTCTGGCACCTACATCTACAACAAACCTTAAAAACTTCACAGCTCCCAGGCATATTAGCATAAATCCTCACAGTAAGAGCCTATTTACCTCAGTTCTTATTACCCAATATATCATGTCCAGCTGTCACCATATATTGAGAAGGCATGCTAAAAGCTATGAAATATAACACTCTCTGAAGAGAAAATGCAATCATCAGAACCAGACTCAAATGTGACACAGATGTAGGAATTATCAGGCAGAGAATTTAAAATAACTATGATTAATAAATTATAGGTTATAATATATTATAGGTTCTAATGAAATGAAGAGACACAATAAAAGTACAGATGGATGATGTAAGCAGAGAGATGAACACTATAAAATAATCAGAAGGAAATCCTAGAAGTACGAAACACAAAAATAGAAATGATGTATGACTTCAAATGATTCGTCTGTAAATGTGACACAGCTGAAGTGAACGTGAAGCCAAATCAAGAAAAACTTTCAACTGAAATGCTAAGAAAAAAATGCAAAAAGAAATATATATGTAATATAATTCTATATTATATAATTATATAAATAAAATTATAATTATATATGTACACACACACACACACACACACACACACACACACACATATATAAAATTCGTCCAGTGAGGAGTGGAACGTAGTGGGTCCCTTGACCGGACTGCAGGGCAAAATTACCTTCCTGAACTATCCCCTTTTCAGCTCCCCTTCCCACTGAGAGCCACCTACATCAGCAATAAAATTGCCTGCATTTGCCATCCTTCAATTTGCTTGTGGGACACCATTTCTCCTGGAAGCCATACAAGAGCTCAGGTGCCACGAGTATGAATACAAAAGGCTATCACACTTCCCCTTTGCCCACACTGATGGAAAGCAACCACTTTATGCAAAATGACAGAGGGCCCACTGAGCTGTTAACACTTAAACTGTCTGCAGATGGCAGAGCTAAAAGAGTGCTGTAACACTCCCTCTGGGGAAATAAATACAACTTAATAGATAATATATAAAAGTAATCCTTATAATAATGATGTTTTTATTTGGTTTTACTCTTTTTAAAAAGAAGATAAACTACTGGACAATATTAGCATTTAAAATAATCAAACTGGAATTTCCTAAGATTCTTATGTTTATCCAGTAACAACTAAGGTATTATTTAATTTAATATCCAGTTAAATGTGCACAGTAAATTTTCAAAGCATATGCTTTATAAAGTGAAATTATGTTTATACTTCTCAAATTAACATATATAATCAATAAAATAAATCTAAAAACAATGCAAGTAATCAATTCATAAAATAAGACAAAAAATAATGAAAGAACATAAAAATACAGAAGATGTAGAAAGCACAATAACTAAAAATGTAAAAATAATAAAATATGGGTCAGTGAAAATGTAAAGAATATCAGATAGAATTGGAAAAGATAAAAAGAAAACAAGGAAACAAGCAAAACCATCATCAAGCTGTATGCTTCTTCTCTAAAATATATCCATAAGCTAAAGAAAAGTAGAAAGTAATAAAATGAAAAAAAGAAATCCATCAGACAAATAATAGCCAAAAGGCATTGTAATAGTTATATATTACTCTCAGACAAAATAATTTTTTGTACAAAAACAGCTTTATTAGTAGTAGCCTCTATATAATGATTTTAAAACATCAAATTCACCATGGATTTATGACAGTTCTTAACTTATATTCACCTAATAAAACATTTAAAGCAAAACTTTTAAGACTACAGGGAAATAGACAAATCTACTACTATAATGGGATATTTTGATGTACTCCTATTATTAATAGAGGAAATAAAGATAAAGGCTATAAAAACATAGGAGATTTGAACAGAACCCTGCCTTGGCTCCCATTTTTATTCAGAGCAAAAATAAGTCTTTATAATGACCAGACAGTGCTTGAATTGACCCCTTTACTAGTTTTGTAACCTTGTCTCTCCCTCTTACTTTGCTCTCCCTCTTACTTTGACTGCTCCAGCTCTTGGACTCATCATTTATAAATACTACATGTACCTCCAACTTAGAGCCTTTGCACTGACTGCTCTGTACATAAAAGGATTTTTTCTGAGATTAATTCTTTTATTTGCTCAGACATCACCATCTCAATGACCACCTCCATAAAATGCAATGTGAAACACTCCTACTTTTCTTACTCCAGATATTCCTTACCCTGTTCTGTTTTTTCCTTTACCACTTTTCTTCTTTTGGCATATTATCCATTTCATGCGTTTTCTGTATCTGCCTCCCCAACCCTACTTAAATGTGAATTGTATTAGGAAAGCGATCAGTGTTTCCTTCAATGACATATGCCAAGCACTTAGAACAGTGCCTGGAACATAAAATGTAGCCATAAATATTTGTTTATTGAATAAAAGGACTGGGACTTTTGCTGAAATGAGCCAAGTGTAGCAAAGTAGAAATGATAGGGAGATCAATAGATGAATTTTTTCCCACAAGAATTCCATTTCTAGCAATAACAAGCAGGAAATAGAAATAAATTCAATTTGTGAAGCTCGATTAATGCCAGCATAGCACACTTGATGACTCGTTATCTGATGATCACTTGTCAGGCTAAGTCTTCTGAAGTGCTCCCTCATTCAAAGTAATAATGAATCTAGGATACTTGAGGACTTACATGTGGGGCTAATTCAGTTCCAGTTGGGGCTAATTCAATTTTAAGTGCACAGTTCCTGAATTATATAGATGAACACATCACAATGCCTCAGCTCTAGGTACTCACAACCTAGTTTAAGAGAAATTATTACCAAAAAAGTCTGTGCAAATCAAACCAGGTAAGTAGTAATATATCTAAAATTTTTGACTAATATGGTTATTTATCTTAATAAAAGCATGTTAGAAAACAAGAACATTTCAAACGCATAAAATACTTAGGCATAAATCTATCTCTAGTTAAGAAAAATGTCTCTCAGATTCTACTTGTAGGAAAGGATTCCAGTCTCTTTTGAGAGGAAATAGTCTGCTAAAACATAATACTCCAAGCTATAATTTACAATAAATTACCTTGCAATGTAGTTATTTCCTGATCTCCAACACCATTTTTTTATTATTATTAGTGTATTGAAGAAAGAGTTTAACACAAGATTAGCCATACAAGAGATAAATTTATTACTCAAATCAATCTCCCTAAAGGCTTGAAGTTTTGGGTTTTTGAAGCATAGTTTAGTGGGTAGCGTACTAGGAGATGGGTGCTGCTGATTGGTTGGGGATGCAATCATAGGGGCAGGGAAAATGGTCTTCATACACTGAGGCTGCCTTTAGGGAGGGAGACCACAGAACCAGTTGAGCCAGGAGTCATGAGTCTGGGTGGGGTCAGTCAGTCCTGAGAATTCAAAAGTAGTCAAAAACATCTCCAAAGACCAATCTTAGGCTCTACAATAGTGATGCTATCTGTAGGAGCAATTAGGGATGTCATAAATCTTATGATCTCTGGACACATGACTTCAAAGCAGCAAAGGACGCCTACATTTTAGCAGAATTCAGGACCCGCCCATGATCCTAATCTTGTGGCCTTTCATTAGTTTTACAAAGGTGATTTCAGTCACTGAACAAGGAAGGGATCAGTTTCAAGAAGGCCTATTATCACCTTTGCTTCAAAGCTAAATTATAAACTAAATTTCTGCATGGTTAGTTTTGCCTTATGCCAAGGAACGAGTGAAGACAGCCAACCTTTGAAACTAGAAGCAAGACGTAGTTACTTTAGATTTCTCTGTGTTAAAATTTCTGTAAAGGTTATTTAAGCACCCAACTTGGGCTTCAGATTGACTCAGTTCCGAGGTGTGAGCCATGGAGATGAGAAAGACTGGCAACTACTCTAACTTCTTCTTGCTGACAGGATGCATAGTTGTGGTAAGGGTTGCTCTTAGGGTAAAAGGAGTGAAATCATCTTGCAGTTGTCTGTATATATTCACTGGTGTCTGCTTTAAATTTCGACATCCACATAGCAAAAACATTAGTACTGATACAGGAATTAAGAAGAAATCACTTAGGCAGACAGTGGGGGTACAGGAGTCCTTGGTAAGGCTTTTCTTTTTGATGAAAAGCAGCCCCAAATTATTTTCTAACAAAGAGCATCCTGTAAAGTCAAACTTCAGACACAGACAAGCAAGCTGGGAGCTTGCACAGGTGAATGCCAGCAGGAGCTAGGGACCAGACATGTTCAAGATGGTGGCTCCATTTTCCCTTCTCTGCCAGCCACATGTACAGTAAGGAACAGACAAGATGGTGCCAGCCAAGGAGAATTCATTTGCATAATAAGATTAGGGTGAGGCCACCAGCCTTCTTCACGAAAGATGTAAGTGTCATATCTGATCAAACCAATCTGTGAGCCCTACATAAATCAGACACTACCTCCTCAAACTGGACTATAAATTCCAGCACATCCACTGCCAGCTGGTCCTTTCTGCTCAGAGACCCCTCTCTCTATATATAAAGAAAGCTGTTTCTCTTCCTCTTCTCTTCTGCCTACTAAACCTCCATTCCTAAGCTCCTACTGTGTGTCCATGTCCTAAATTTTCCTGGCGTGAGACAACGAACCCCAGAGTATATACCCAGGCAATGTAGCTGCTTCAGGCACTCTTATCCACAGTTTTAGTAAGCGCTATCACAGGAGTGAAAGCCCTAGCTTCAGGAGTCCATAGAGAGCTAATTCGAAGCCTTGAGAGATCTATGTGAATAACCCCGAGAACCTATCAAATGTTGGGTCATCAGAGAGACTCAAAAACAATGAACAGGGCTGCAATCTAATAAGTGTACTATAGTTTTTGTGAAACATAATTTTTCTCTCTACATTTCTGCCAAAGACACATCAGAGTAGGACCAATTTATTTGCAAAATAAGCTTTAGTCTTATCACAGTTGACCTAATTTGTAGCCAGATAGGCTTTTTTTTTTTTTTTTTTTTTATGGCTTTGCTGGAAGTTTTTCATAAGGAATCTCAAATTAGGTCTTTTAAAAGCCTCTTGAATCCAGCCAAGGATTTATTTGTGCCTGCAGATACCTGTATAAATTGAGTGAATTTCTCTCTTCTTGAAGTCCAAAAATAACTTGGGGTTCCTGGGCCTGCCAGAAAGTGAGATATTTTACAGGGTTAGAAACTCTGTACAGAACAAGATATGAGGACAGTTTTTCCAAAAGGCTTTTATCAGCTCTATAGGTCAACTTCAATTTCTTAAAGCAGTCTGAAAACATGCCATTTGATTCAAAGTCTTGGTAAAATAACCAGTGTCTCCAATTCTGTTGTGTTACAAAAGAAAACAGATTCTTATTGAACTTATGCAAATAACTATATTGCCATAAACTAAGAATACTCACAATTTTTTCAAAATTCTGGAGAAATCATGTAGAGACATATAGATATGTTCTATTTTTTCTCACGGTAGTATACTTTACTCAACTATTAAATGTTGTAAATGGCTCAAAAGAAAATATGTTTTCTTGACTCTGAAATACAAAACAAAAATAATTAGCAATGTTTTAAGCAAAACATCATAACAAGATTATCGTAGTCTTCTATTAAGTCAGTTCATGCAATTAACTTCTGTTTTACTTTATATTGGGCTCTCCATGAGAGTCCTGGAAAGTTTTTTTCTTTATTTCAATGACATTATTTCCAAATTTTGGGGGAACCTGCATTTAACAGCACCCGACAGAGTCTTATAGTTGATTTTAAAAGCACCTTTTGAAAAGAATCAAAGTATAACAATTGTGGATGACAAAAGTCTTAGAATAACCACAGTTAAAGACAAAATTGACAGAGAAATTGGGTCATTTGTGTGGCACACAAGAATTTAACATAACAATCAATTTTTACTAATAGTATACACTGTCATATCAGAATTATAGAAGTCTCACACAATTCTGAAATACACACCAAGGACCCATTTATACAAAGACAGCCCAAAGAAAGACAAACACCATTTTATACCTGACAATGCTTCCTTGTGACTGTAACATAACAAATAAGCCAAATGTCTCTTTCAGGCTCTTGGGAACTTAGTATCTAAAAGGTAAATGAGATCAAAAGGACTTAGTTTATAACTTGAAATTTCGATTTTGAAAGCTTTGTCAAATATCAAAGATTTAAAACACTGGATATCACAGAATAGGATCACAAATTATTCATTTAGCAGAAGTTATAGCTCAAAGATTTCAAATATGAAAAAACCTTTCTTGTTGTTAGAAGGGAGACTCAGCTTTCCAAACAACAAGACCCAGTAAAGATGGGATGAGGCCAACTGAATCTGTTTCTTCCATCTTCCCTATTTTTTCACTTTTTCCTGCAGTTTAATCAAAAGGCGCTTAAACAAACTTTCATTATATCTCAATATTCTAAAAAAAAAGTTTAAAAGAGAAAACCAAATTTGACCTTTGTATTAGTGTATCATTCATGCTAAAGCTACTTTTAAGAAGATTTTGTAAATAAATCTAGTTTTAATCAGTTTGACCATAAAGTGAGATATTCATAAACCTCTTATAACTTTTGTAATTTTCTATTATAGAGCAAATCAATGCTACAAGAAAATCTTGTTATTCTGAAATAACTGATGCTAGCCCTGCGTCAATGTGCTTTAATGTATAATTCATTGAAAAACAAATTGAATAATTTTGAATATTGCATATTGAATAATCCCATTTAAATTTGGGCAAATTTGCTTACACACATAGAAAATCCTTTATAAATCAATCTCTTATGAATGTTTTACAACTTGCATGAATATTCAGTTTTGTTTTATCATTCTTTTAACAGTACAATACAATAAAACCCCTCTAATATATACAAAACTACTTTTCCTTTAACAAAAAGCATATTTCCATGTCTTATAACCTTTCGCCAAGAACACATTCTACTTTCCTTATATGCCTCGAATGTAAAACTGTTTCTTCAGCAGTCCAAATTACTTATGTTACAATGTTAACTCTTAACAAACTTTTATTTTTAGTGAAAAAACTGATAAGCAATTTCTTTATTTTTTTAAGTGCATATTCTATGGAGTACATGAGATGTTTTGATATAGGTATACAATGTGTAATAATCATATCATGGAAGACAGAGTATCTATCCCCTCAAGAATTTATCCTTTCTGTTAAAAACAATCCAATTATACTCTTTTAATTATTTCAAAATTAACACATTATAACTAATTACAGTCACCATGTTGTGCTATCAAATACCAGGTCTCATTCATTCATTGTAACTATATTTTGTTTCCATTAACTATCCGCAGCTCCCCGTCATTTCCCCACTACCCCTCCCAAACTCTGATAACCATCCTTCTATTATCTATATTAATGAGTTCAATTGTTTTGGTTTTTAGATCCCACAAATAAGTGAGAACATGTGAACGTTGTCTCTCTGTGCCTGGCTTATTTTGCTTAACATAATGACATCCAGTTCCATTCATGTTATTGCAAATGGCAGGAACTCATTTTTTTTCATGTCTCAGTAGTGCTCCATTGTGTATAAATACCATATTTTCTTTATCCATTCATCTATTGATGGAATGTTAGGTTGCTTCCAAATCTTGGCTAGTGTGAACAGAGCTACAACAAACACAGGAGTGCAAACATTTCTTCAATAAATTGATTTTCTTTTGGGTATATACCTAGCTGTGGAATTGTTGGTATGTATGGTAGCTATATTTTTAGCTTTTTGAGGATCCCTCAAACTATTCTGCATGGTGTTACACTAATTTACATTCCCAACAAGAGTGTACAAGGGTTCCCTTTCCTACACATCCTCACCAGTATTTGTTATTGCCTGTCTTTGGGGTATAAGCTATTTTAACCATGGTGAGATGATATCTCATTGTAGTTTTGAGTTGCATTTATTTCTCTGATGATAAATGATGTTAAACACCTAATCATATTTCTGTTTGCCATTTGTATATCTTCTTTTCAGAAATGTCTATTCAAATATTTGCCAATTTTTAGTTGGATTATTAGATTTTTTTTCTTACAGAGCTGTTTCAGCTCCTTATGTATTTTGGTAATTAACCCCTTGTTCGATGGGTAGTTTGCAAATATTTTCTTCCATTCTGTGAGAATAATCCATGTGCTGAAGAAAACGTGTATTCTGCAAGTACTGGATAGAATATTCTGTAAATATCTGTTAGATCTGTTTGTTCTATAATGCAGATTAAGTCCAATATTTCTTTGTTGATTTTGTGTCAGGAAGATTTTTTCAATGCTGAAAGTTAGATGTTAAAGACTATTGGAGCATATATATTTTAAATTTTTTATATATTCTAGCTTTATCAGACCTTACTTGTTTGTTTCTTCTTACAGTTTTTGTCTTAAAATCTATTTTGTTTGACATAAGTATAGCTACTCTTGCTCTTTTTTGGTTTCCATTGGCATAGAATATCTTTTTTCATACCTTTATTTTCACTCTATGTGTGCCATTATAGGTAAAGTGTCTTTTGTGTAGGCAACAGATCAAAGGGTTTTGGTTTTTTCATCCATTCAGCCACTATATGTCTTTCTGTTGGAAGCTTTAGTTCATTTATAATCAATGTTATTGTTGCTAAGTGAGGACTTACTCCTGCCATTGTGTTATTTGTTTTCTGGTTTTTTTGTGGTCTTTTTTTTTCTCTCTCTCTCTCTTTTTTTTTCTTTTCTGTCTTTTAGTGAAGTGATTGACTTATTTTCTTCCTTTTGTTTTTAGGTATCTTTTGTATCTTCTTTGATTTGAGGTTACCATGTGGCAATACTATTTTATAAGTCATTATTTTAAGCTGATAACAACATAACACTGTTTGCATAAACAAAGACACAAACAAGGAACAAGAAAAACTAATAATGACTCTATGCCATAACTTCATTCCCTTGCTTTTTAACTTCTTGTTGTTAATATTTATACCTTGTTGTACTGAATATGTCTTGAAAAGTTGTTGTAGTTGTTATTTTTGATTAGTTCATCATTTTGTCTTTCCATTTAAGAATAGTTTTCACACCACAGTTATAGTGTTATAATATTCTATGTATTTTTGTGTACTTATTATTACCAGTGAGTTTTGTACCTTCGATGAGTTCTTATTGCCCATTAACATTGTTTTCTTTCTGATTTAAGTACTCCTTTTAGCATTTCTTGAAAGACATGTCTGGTGTTGGTTAAATTCCTCAGCTTTTCTTTATCTTGGAAGGTCTTTTTTTCCTCCTTCATGTTTGAAGTTTATTTAACCAGATATACTCTTCTATGGTAAAAGGGATTTTTTTCCCCCTTCAGCACTTTAAATATGTCATGCTACACTCTCCTGGCCTATAAGTTTTCCACTGAAAAGTGTGCTACCAGACATATTGGAACTCTGTTTTATGTTATTTGTTTATTTTCTTCTGTTGCTTTAAGAATTCTTTTTTTTTATTGTCCTTTGGGGAGTTTTATTATTAGATGCCTTGATGTAGTCTTCTTTAGGATAAACTTGTTGGTGTTTTATAACCTTCTTGTACTTGGATATTGATATCTTTCTCTAGGTTCGTGAAGTTCTCTGATATTATTTCTTTAATCTTTCTACTCCTATCTCTTTTTCTATCTCCTCTTTAAAGCCAATAACTCTTAGATTTGCTCTTTTGAGTCTATTCTCTAGCTCCTGTAGAAATGTATTATTGTTTTATATTTTTTCTTTTGTTTCCTCTGACTATATTTTCAAATAGCCTGTCTTCAAGATCACTATTTTTTTCTTCTGCTTGATCAATTCTGCTATTAAAAGTCTCTGATGCATTCTTCAGTATGACAATTGCATTTTTCAACTCCAGAATTTCTGCTTAATTATTTTTAATTATTTTAATCTCTGTCAAATTTATCTGATAGATTTCTGAATTCATTCTCTGTGTTATCTTGAATTTCTTTTAGTTTGCTTAACAAAGCTATTTTGAATTCTGTGTATGAAAGGTCACGTATCTCTATTTCTTCAGGACTGGTTCCTTGTGCCTGATTTAGTTCCCATGGTGAGGTCATGTTTTTCTGGATCATCTTGATACTTGTAGATGTTCGTCTATGTGTGGGCATTGAAGAGTTAGCTATTTATTGTAGTTCTTGCAGTCTGGGCTTGTTTGTACCCATCCTTCTTTGGAAGGCTTTCCAGATATTTGAAAAGACTTGAATGTTGTAATCTAAGCTTTATCTGCTTTAGGGGGACCCCAAGGCCACTAGTGCTGTTGTTCTTTCAGTCTCGTAGAGATACCACCTTGATAGTCTTGGACAAGTTCTGGAAGAAGTCTCTGAATTACCAGGCAGAGAGTCTTGTACTCTCCCCTTACTTTTTCCCAAACAAAATCTGTACCTCTGTTCTGAGCCACCTGAAACTGGGGTTGGAGTGACACAAGCACCCCTGTGTCCACCACCCCTAGGACACCTAGGACTGTGCTGTGTCAGACCTGAATCCAGTACAGTGCTGGATCTCATCCAAGGCCTGCTGTAACCAATTCCTGGCTACCACCTATGTTTTTGCTCAAAGCCCTGGGAGAGGGCTGGGCTACAACCAGCGGTTGGCAAAGCCAGCCCAGGTCTATTTCCTTCCCTTTGGGTGGTGGCAAGTTCCATCAGGCCTGGGGTAGGTCCAGGGATGCTGTCCAGGAGCCAAGGCCTAGCATCAAAAACTAGATGTCCACCTAGGGTTCTACTGTACTGCAGCTAAGCTGGCACTCAAATGACAAGGCACAGTCCTTCCCATTCTTCCCTCCCCATTCCAAAGGCAGAGGTACCTTACCTTGTAATCACTGCCACCTTAGTCCAGTGGGGGGTATTACCAGATTATTGCCAAGGTTTCCTTAAGGCTCACAGGCTCTTTAGTCAGCTTCTAGTAAATGTTGTCCAGCCTGGGGCTCACCTTACAGGTGAGGGTAGGTCAGCCCTGGGTAGGTCCAGAAATTCTATCCAAGAGTGAAGTCCTAGAATTTGGGACACCAGGAGCCTCCTTGGTGCTCTACCCCCACTGTGGCTGAGCTGGTTCTTAAGGTGCAAGACAAAGCCCCTTTACTTTTTCCTCTATTATTTTTAATCAGGAGTATTGCCCCACAGCCACCATAGCTGGGAATGTGCTGGGTCTCACCTGAGTCCAGCAAGTCTCAGCATCTCACCCAAGGCCCTCAATGTAGTACCTAGGCACAGCTCAGAACAAAAACTTGCTTAGGCTTTGCAGTTCTAGTGGCTTCATCTATGTTTGAGATTAATTTGCCACCCCAGAGTACTTTAGCCTGTGGTAGCAAGGAGTATAGGAACCTAATTTCCAACCACTGGGATTTGTGATTCCTCTCTGGCTATGACTGGTTTAAATGCACCCTTCATGGGTGAGACTGAGTTTGGTCTAGTTTTGCTTTCTGCTATAATGAGGGCAACACTGAGTTCAATGCATCACAATTATTGGCTCTCCTTCTCCACAGGGAACAGAAATGCTCTCATCACCACAGCACCCCTGCTAGGGGGATGGGAAAGGAGTGGCATTGACTATTCAAGACTATTTTTCTTTCCTCTGCAGTACCTATTTCAGCAATATGAAGTTAAAACCAGGTACTGTGAGTGCCTACCTGATTTTTGTTTCTTATGAATGTGCTTTATTTGTATAGTTAGTTGTTAAATTGGTGTCGTTGATGGAGGGACAATCAGTGGAGCCTTCTATCTGCCATCTTGCTCCACCCATCAGCCAAGTAAGTAACTTAATTTATCTATTAGATTGCAGAACCAAGGACAAAAATAGAACTCCTGACCATGTCTGACTTTTCCCAGCACAGCCAAGGGACATTGCTAACTCTACAGGTACCCAGGTGTTTCCTAGAATTTAATGGCCACTAGTCTCTTGATTACCTGTTCCCTGTCCTAAACAGCTAGACAATTCTAAATTTGCATTTCTAAAGGAGTAATTCTTAAGTGAAACAAAACAGATAATTAATGTTTTACTCAAACTCTGAGAAAATGGTATGAGTAGAAGTTCAAATGGCCAAAAGAAGGACATCCTTACGTGTGGTGATTTTCTTAGATGTAAGTTTCTTAATTGTATTACTGGCTTAAGGGTGGAATCTTATAAGGAGCAGCACCAAGAAAGCATGCAGTTTCTAGGTCTAATGGGGAGGGATAGGTGGAAGGCAGACTAGATCCCCAAAAGTCAAGGATCCAATTTTTACATCAAATCCTGAATCCCCCAAAGGAGGGAACCACTGTAAGATGAGATGGTGCAAGACTGAACATCAGAAGCTGTCCATGGAGGGAAAAAATAATCAATAAGTAGCAAAATTCCCCCAGGTATTAAGCCAAAAAATTCTAATTTCCTAAACCAGAAATATGAACCCAGGCCACCATCATGAAAGGGCAAAGCCTTAGCTACCAAGCTACAGCATTGGGCAGTTGCCAGAACTTTTCTGAAAAGAAGTCTAGAACAGCCATCAAGCTTGCAAAGAATTTTCACTGCCCAGGAGAATCCATGACATTATTATATATCATTTTCTAAGTTTAAAGCTTTTTATTCAATTGTTGAGAATAAAATAGCTATAAAAATATTTTTCTTTCAATGGCATACTTAGTTCAAATAGCAACTCAATCCAAAAGCCCTTTTCAAACTCAGATGGTAATTTTCCAGGTTCTTATCAACTACAGAAGAGGTATTCCTGGAGAGATGATAGAGGAGGCATCCTCACGATCCCCAAATATTCACCCCCAGAAAGGGGCTTAATATAGCAAAAGAGGACAAAAACCCCATAGTATGGGACATTTTAAAACAAAACTCATCAGAGGGCTTGACACATTTGGGATGAACAATGTGCTAATGCATCTCAGACTCTTAGTCCTTTCAGACCAGTAACCTAATATGAACCTGAAAATTCCCACCCTCTGGATGGCAGAGACCAAGGGAGAGAATCCCTACATGATCACAAAGTCAAGCTCTTGAGGGTTAAAACAAGAGGGAAACCATATCCGGATTTTTTGCCTAAGGGAAATGCCTCTAAATTTTTAATTGACCAATCTGCAAGTTCAGTTTGAACACAAGGTTATAGGAGTCCCAGGCCTGCATTGTATCCTATGGTAGCCCTCTTTATGACTGAATAACACAACAAGACACATTTATAGCACAAAGTACATCAGATTTACTAGAGCCTAATACTAGTCTCACAAATCATTTTTCCCATTAATCAGAATCTTGCAGAGAAGAAAAACAGTGATTTTTACCATTCAGTCCACTGGTTGAGGCAGAGAGAGAGAGACTAGTAGCCTGGCTGCTAAGGAATTAGTATGCTTTTGCCAGCTTGAGAGGTTTCTGGGTTCCCTTGTCTGCAGCTTCTGGAAGAACACAGCAGGTTTTGATGATCCTGCTCACAGCACCATAGCAGTAGGGGCCAAGCTGTGTTACAAAAGAAAATTATCCTTTTCTATTTAATGGCACCATAGGCAAGAGACCACAATTTTGCTTAACAATAAGTAAAGAAACAAGTAACTTCAATATCTTCAATATCATCAATAAAGATTACAGCTAGGGTTGGAGACTGATTTATAATAACTCTGTCTCCCATGTGGCTGACCTCATGTAAATTAAATTATTTCTTTACTGCAATATCATAGTCTTAATAAATTGGTTTTGTCTGTGCACCATTTACCCACTCAGCACCCAAGTATTGACATGACAAAGCTCAAACTTGCCTCCATTGGCCCTGTTATATTTTATCCACTCAAAATGGGATGGAATGATCTTTGACCAAAAGTTATACGGATGGTCTCCAGTCAAGGTAGAAGAGTGGATAGTCACTCTGAGTTAGGCCTAATGAGCTTCCTTCAGGGCTCACCAAATGTGAATAGTCAATCAAACTAGGAGAGCCTACAGAACTTCTGCCAGCAATTTTTTTGGGAAATCCTCTCCACACTTACAAACACACACAACACGGTAAAGGAAAAAAGGCCTTCAAAACCAAGATTTCTAACAAAAATTTTCTAAGAGTATTTTTCCAAAGGAACCTCCTATTTTCCATCTAACTGGGGATAAATCTCCCCAAACAAAGACGCTTCTTATCATTTAGAGAGAGCGGGTCAAGATCCCAGAAGGTGCCAACCATGACCCTCGAAGGAGTCAACCAATTCAGAGAGGGAAGGAGTTGTTGGCTGCGCTTAAAATACTCACCAGACCAGTTTAAAGATGTCTTCCAAGAACTATTTCTCCACTGCAATTAGGTCCAGGCACTATAGGTCAGTAATACTGCCCCCAACAGGGACAGCACCACAGATGGCCGTCAGTTCAAGAGAAACAAGTGGCCACCAGATTTCACCTCCAGGTCTGTGTACCGGTAGTGGGCTGACAAACCTCAGACAGGCATCTGCAAGGGTACATCCTGGGTGAGCTCCCAAATTTATAATTGCCTGGCAGGTTCTTCCTACCTGCTGCACAGACAAAACCAAAACACTAATACCATGATATTGCAGCAAAGAGTTTAATTAACATGAGGTCAGCCACACAGGAGACAGAGTTATTACAAATCAGTCTCCAATTCCAACTCTAATTTTTATTGATGTTGTTAAAGTTAAGTCTAAGTTTCTTTACTTATTGTTAATCTCATATATTTCTTTTCTTTCCCTGTTTTTAAGACCAACCTCTTCCTAGAGAAGCATGTCAGTAGGTTCAATCTCCTCCTCTAGCACATAACTGGAATTATGTAAATAAATAACTGCTTAGAATTTGTGGCATCACTATTAACATTCTTCTAACATTTAAATCATGGTGAGAAGATCAAAAGAAGGAAATCAAATAGAGAATGTTTAACTCTTTTTGGCCACAGCTATTTAATGGCTATTGTCTCTATAGGGAATTTCATAATTCTAGTAATTTAGTTCAAGTTCATTTTGACAGTCTTGGCTTTAAAAACTATATATAGAATCAGACACAGTCACAGTTGGCCAAATGCCTAGTTTTGAAAACACATTTCTTTTATGTATTTTATAAACTTTTTGCTTTGTCATTAATATTTTTCAGCTGAAGTTTCTATGTTAGACAGGAAACACAGTGACTTTTATTCCTTATTCTATAATCCATATGAGATTCATATCTATCCCTTGGGTTTTTACTCTTAATATGCTGAGACTTTGATTTTATAGTAAAGCGCTCACTTTGATTTTTGTAGAAGATGGTGTTTTACTGATTAATGTTCAATTTATTGTCTGATTCCACACATACAGGGGCACACTCACATATACATGAAAGCAACTAGGAAAAAAATTACACTTTTATGTGCAATTTTTATTGGCACATTTTAAGATTACAGTAAAATGAATGAAACAAGTGTATGCTGATTTTGGTTTATAATTAGTGAAGTACATTACTTTAAATCCAAGTGAATCCAAACGGTATAGTATATTTTCCACAAGTTTATTGTGATTCCTTCAACATTATATGCATATATGCAAAAATGTTTACATTAATCCCTCAAATCAAAGACACTTTCAGTCATAGGATGCATCATGTTATAATGTGCCACCAACCTTTTCAAAATGCTGCCGGTTATTATAAAACAGCATGAATTATAAGCCAGACACATTTTATATTAAAATGAAAACATATAGACTTTTTCATAAGTAATTTTTTATTATGTGTTACAGTCTCACTCACATTTTTATTACATTCCTGAGGTAAAATTATTGTATGTGTACTGTTTTATGTGGAGGAAGTTGAATGGAGATCAGAAAATATTGGTTACTGAATATTGTTGTAGGACAATATGTCTATACAAATATGTCTATGTTGTAGACATATTTTAAACATAATATTAGTAAAACAAATAGTTTTGCTCTTCATCTGATTGGGGAGCAAGATGAGGATATGTTGAATAGCACCATTCTTAAAAGAGCTACATATGTGTCATGAAATTTAATGAAATAACTATTCTGTGTTAGAGATAAGTTTGGAAGATTAGATATGTTAATTTATATAGAAAGTTCTGCCCTGATAGTGATAGAGTAGATGTTGTCAGACCTTTTCTCCAAGAAATAACAATTATGATCTTAGGAGAAAAATAAATAAATAATATAGGTAAATTATCTAGAGGTACTGGAGAATGACCAAAAGCAAGCAGAAGCTAGAGGACTTTCTCATGTTTTTTGTTTTTGTTTTTGTTTTTGTTTTTGTTTTTAGTAGCTTTTACCTTAAAAGCAGGCCCCAGTTGGTGGCATACAAAATGACAAAAACTTAGAATCTTACAGCTTAATGGCATGAAGAGCCATAGGAAAGGAGAGCTATTACAACTGGAAAGAATTCCACAAAAGGGGGGATCCTTGGGGGGAAACATCCTCAAATCCTGCACATGAGCTCTTTTCAAATCTCTAGCCAACTGCTGAATGATGGATGCATGTGACAGATTTCAAACAGCCCAGCTAAGGCTGAAAGAGTTAAACAAATTTCTGCTGCTAACCACTTCAGGAAAGCTGTGTTTGACTTAGCCAATTTAACAGTATTTTATTACAAACAAAACTCATTAAACTTTGGTGGAATATAACCAAAATTGGAATGTCTGCAATATTCTCATCCACAATACTCAGGACACATAGAAAATGTGATCTGTATTTAAGAAGAAAGGCAATGTGACCTGTATTCAGTAAGAAAGGAACCAACATGAGATAACAAAAATGTTGAAATTACTAGATAAAACAGTTGTTATATTTATGTGCATGGGTATAAAGGAAAATGTGCTTGTAATGAACGAGTAAGAAATCTTAAGGGAAATGAAAACAATTTAAAGGAACCAAATGAAAATTTTAGAAGAGGAAAACATAATATCTAAGAAAATTTATATAATGTCCTTACATAATTTGTTCTAATAAAAGAAAGAAAGAAAGAGAAAGGGAAAGGGAAACTGTAGCTAAAGAGCTACTAAATACAAATACAAAATTATGTATTTCTTTCCATGTTAATAGCAAGAAAAAAAGGAGAAATGATGGGAAGTTTGTATTCATTAAATAAAAACAGCAAAGCGATAGACTAGAGAATTCTCTTTTCAGTTTTTTTAATTTTTAATTTTTATTTATTCATTTATAAATTATTGAGATGGAGTCTCGCTCTGTCACCAGGCTGGAGTTTAGAGGCACCATCTCTGCTCACTGCAACCTCTGCCTCCTGGGTTCCAGAGATTCTCCTGCATCATCCTCCTGAGTAGCTGGGACTACAGGCATGCGCCACCACACTCAGCTAATTTTTATAGTTTTAGTAGAGACTGGGTTTCACCATGCTGGCCAGGATGGTCTTGATCTCCTGACCTCTTGATCTGCCTGCCTTGGCCTCCCAAAGCGCTGGGATTACAGGCATGAGCCACTGCCCCTGGCTCAGTTTTTTTAATATATAAAAAGATGGACAATCCTCCTTCAGACTGATTTTTTAAAAAAAATATTTATTTCCTCTTTCAGGTGAGTATATCCAGCTTAACGTATTCTGATACATTGGCCATAATAAAATGCACTTTAGGGATACATACAGGACACATATTATTATATACTTTTTAGTTTAATATTCAGTTATACGGTGATGGAATTTGATATAAGGTTACCAGTACATGCTATCATTAAAAAAAAGCTACATTTCTAGCTCTTCTGAGCACTTACCTCTTTTTACCTTTACTTTGCCTTAGCAGTATCAGAACGAGATATAATGGCTATGATGAAAAATTTTAATCTGCAGAGAAGAGGGAACATGGGCATGAATGTTTACGAAGTTGTGTTAACATAAATTAGTTTCCCAAAAACAGTTTAAAATGTGAATTAGCAAAATCCTGTGTTAGAAAATATTCAAATGAACTATAAAATTAAGAGATAGTGAGAGATTATTTTCTTTTTTCTTTTTTTTTATTTTTTTATTATACTTTAAGTTTTAGGGTACATGTGCACATTGTGCAGGTTAGTTACATATGTATACTAGAAGCAATGATTGATATTGGACAAAACTAAATACGTACTCATTATCTTTACATTGATTTTTTTCCAATTGTATGGCTATCTTTACTAAAGATCAGTATTCCATACTTTACAATATAAAACGTTTTAACAGAAAATAAGCTAAATTAACTCAGTGCTTATTTATTAGTAGTACTGAGAGTGGCAGGAGGCAGCTAAATGCCTAGGCGGATGGGGAATTGCTGGTGAAACCCCACCTCAAGCCAAAGACAGTTTAAAGCCTGAAAGCCAAGCTACAACTTATATCCTTGCACTGGATTGAGAACTTGTCTTCCCATTTGGCATGCTTTCCTCTGATAGTTCCCCACTCTTCACCTATTTTACATATGTCTACCCTCTCCTAATTGATTTTCTACACTGTGGTGCCCACCTTTGAGTGGTGTCTTTGCTTTAATCTTTTTTTTCATACTCACAAACCAATCAGCACGCACTCCCCATTCTGTATCAACAAAAGGCCCCAGACCCAGCCACATGAGGTGGGGGACCTTTCCTGCCTTCAAGTAGGGGGACCAATCCTAGATCCCCTCTTCTCTGAAAGCCATTTCCTTCACTCAATAAAATTCTTCTCCATCTTCCCCTTCCTTCAATGTCCTGTGTATCTTCATTCTTCTTGGACATGGTGCAAGAGCTCAGGAACCACCAAATGTGAGTGCAAGCTACAACACAGGCAACCTGGGGCACACCAGCATGGCCAAGTGAGGCCCAGGCAGAGCATTGCCAGCTGTGGGTCCTGGCTTACAAAATGACCAAGAAGAAAAATCCTACATCAGTGTAAAGAGTGTCAAAAACATTGAAGTATCAAAATGAAAAATGAATCATGCAGTTTTTCCCTTGCCTTATTCTAGGTATTTTTAGACTATTTTTAATTTGGTTGCTATGCAGACCCATAGAATTGAATCTTTTTCCTCTTCCTGTTAAGCATTTCATTGTTCCAGAACTGAATTGCAACAAAATGTATTAACATTTAAAAGTAATAAGTATTTAATTTCTATATAATGAAGGCATTACCTAAATTTGACAGTGCTAGCGAAATTATAATGAAAAAAATAAAGAACAGTAGAAAATTGTTTATATTATGTCCATGATAATTTGTTCAGGAAAAATAGCCATTTCTTTCTTGGAATAATATGCCTTCCCCCTTGAATCTTGAGTGGATATTTTAAGGACAGAACCAGTATCTTATTGATCTTTGTCTTCTCCAAGACAAAGTAACAAAGTTACCACAAATGAATTGGCAGTAAAATCTACCAATGAATTTAGATATTAGGTGCTTAAAATTCTAGTTAATGAACATTTTCCAGTCAAAATACTAAGGATATTATTCAAAGAAGAAAATAAGTTTTGCTTCTGGAAGAATTACTAATTCTGGCTTTATATATAATTAACAATTTTTCAACTCTTAACCTGTGCTTACTTCTAAAATAGAGCATGTAGATAGTGTTTTAAATACAGCATTTTAAATTTAACAGCTTATATTATGGTGAATTATTTCTTCCCAAAATTTACATGTTGAAGCCTTAACCCAGAGTGCCTCAGAATGTGACTGTACTTGGAGATAGGGTAATTAAAGAGGTAATTAAGTTTAAATGGAATCATTAAAATGGGCCATAATCTAGTATATGTTGTGTCCTTACATGAGGAGGAAATTTGGATACAGACACACACAGAAGAAAGCCCATATGAACATACGCAGAGAAGATGACCATCTGCAAACCAACAAGACAGGCCTCGGAAGAAATTAACCTGGCTGACACCTTGATCTCGGACATTTTGCCTTTCAGAATTGTATGAAATAAATTCCTGTTGTTTATGTCATCCAGTCTGTGGTACTTTGTTATGGCAGCCCAGCCAAACTAACACAGCTAGCTTTTAAAATAAGGATATAAAATATTCCACTTCCATGGAGTTATCATTTTAATAAGATATGAGTGTTGTGTTTCAGCCATATGTTAATCTCATTATATATGGTTTTGTAGGTAAACATTTGAAATTTCTATCAAAACCTGTTACTATTTTCCTGTATAAGTTTTGAGACTCTTATATTAACACCGCTATTGTACTGTAAGAGTAATCATTGGGGCTCAATTTAGAATTCTGAAAAAATATGTAAATTAAAATTTTGGTTTAAAGTAAAATTGATGGCTTTTAGAGGACCATGGTCTTGTATAGATTTAAACAAGAAATGGTAAAAAGAAAATTCAAATAAAAGACAGGAGTTTAATAAAGAATTAAAAATTTAATAAAGAAACATTGGATGTCTACATCCAATGTTTTCTTTGGCTAAATATGGAAACCCAAACATCTAAAGGTTTTGTTTGTTTGTTTGTTTGTTTTGTTTTATGGAAAAAAAAACTTTGGAGAGTGTATCCCCAATGGGTAAACTGGGAAGAGTATAAAAAATAAGTCCAATAAAAGAGGCTGATATATTTTTACCAACTTTGATTTTAGCATGAGGAAGTAATTACAGCATGGAATTATAAAATGCTATTTATACATAAAATGTTTGGAGATGGTTAATTTAAAAATATATCCCAAGTAATTTACAGAGAAATGATACTCTGCACCTTCAGTTAATTACTCCACAAGGAAAACAAAAGGCAAGTTTTCTCTGCTGTTTCAAATTTGTGATATGGCCCCTCAGATGTCTTTGGTTAGATGCCATAACTAATGAAAACACCACCAATTTAGTGATAATTCCCACACAATCTTCTTAGTGAAGTTCATAGTGGAGGTAGAGAGGTACTGGTAAGCCCTAACCTCCTGAATAAACCTATCTTAAAAGTAGCATAAATCGCTGGGGGTAATTTTTTTCTTTTTTAATGTTGTTAGTACTGTCCTCTATAAGACATCAATGTTTTGCTCATGTGCCCATTTTTATAGGTAATTCAGAAAAGTAAAGGTGACCAAATAGAAAATGAAAACTAAATTTTTCATAAAACTACCTGTGTTTTATGTCTAATCTAATATTTTTCCAGGCATAGATGGCACACCCAAAAAACTATTGTATAGATATTGCTATTCTTATTAATATGTATTTTTTCCTTAACTATAACAAAAAGGAAATTAAATGTTAACAATAACGGGTAATATATTCAAGTATACATGGTATAAGTCAAGATAAAATTCTGAAATTAAAGTTTTCAAAACTTAAAAGGTAATTTGAAAGTAGCTATAGTTTTGTAGTTCTAAAACTATTAGAAAACCTTCCTTATTTTAGATGGATTGCAATGTTTCTAATGTTGTTCAGGTGCCAGGATTATAGAGAGCAAAGCTTGTGAGAACTAGGCTTATTTGGTGAAGAACCAAGGAGGAGCCTATCTGTATAGTTCACCCAATTATTGTTATCCACCAAGACTGTTTTGAATTAAATGAAACATTACATGTATTTTAGGGCCATACGTGCTGATATATGCAAACACAGAATCTTGGTCTCTGATTTATTCAGAAAAGGAAAAAGGAGAAGAAAAATTTTTAAAAGAGAAAAGAAAAAAGAAAGGAAAGGAAAAGGGAAAATGGTTAGGAAAATAATTGGTGGCATAGAAGTCTGCCTTCACATTCCAAATTTTAAAAATCTAGATGTGGCTTATTAAAACAAATTTGGAGAGGAGTAAGTGAAGTTCATGAATCAAAAATATTAGCTGTAATAGTATGAAACTTCAATCATATTATGAACAACAAGCAATATTCTCCAAATTGTTTTCTAAGGCAAACTGCAAAAGACAACTTTTCAAAGAAGGGCAAGTATTGCCAAAATCTGATTCTTACTTGTCATGAATACAGATTGCTGAATCACTCTTTCTTTATGTATTTGTCAAATGACACTCAGATATTTTTAGGTAAACATATTTAATTATTCCTGATTTCTAATTGAGCCTTGTATGACAAATCAGTTAATGTAATGGAATTTTTGAATTCATGATTCTAAAACCATACTTCAATTAGCAATGATATCCTACTCCTCAACCAACCTTAGTATCTTGAGGGAAAAAAAAACCTGTGTATCTCTCAATTTTATACAGCACTGTAATTTACATACTGTTGAGCACATAGTAATCATTTACTGTTATTTGAGTAATGAATGAAATTAAGAAAGAAAAGATAAATGGGTATGGATAATGAGACCATCTGTCCCAGTCATTGCACACCCAAGCTTGTCAATTACAGCCAACGCATAAAGCAAAATTGAGATAAATTTGCTGAAAACGATTGTAGCATAAAGCTAATCATACTACACATGGAATACCCTATAACATTGTCAATAAAATATAAGACTTTGATTTCAATAATTAACAAATTTCACAATTACCACCAGTTGAATTATGTCTAGATTTCTCTGGACTTTCAGTTCTCTAATTTTAATTGTCTACTAGATAAACTGCCCAGAAGAATTCATGGAACTACAAATTTAATAGGGTGAAAGCCAAGTCTACTAACCTACCTCTCAATCTAATAAAAATGTCTGCAATATACAAGTCCCAATTCAAAATAACAGAAATGTTTAGCATAGTTTGTCAAATGTATTTCTTAGCTAGTTAGGCAGTATAATTTCTACTTTGTCAATACATTTCTCCTTTCCTTTCTTTTCTGTCTCTCTCTTTTTTTTTTTTTTTGTACTTTGTATGGCATCCTCATTGTTCTCTTATCTCTTCATTGGTGTCGTTATCTCCTCATTGGTTTCATTTCTTTATTCTTGCCCTATGTTATTTCATTCTACTCAAGACTTCAGATTAAATTTTCTAGATCACACTTAGAAAATGTAATTATACTAAAAAAAAAGCTACCAAATTTAATAAAAATTGCCCAAGTCAGCATCCAAAATTAAAGCTCTGCATAGTTTTCACGATTTAATCCCAATAATTTCCTATGGTCACAAAAGTCTAATACAAGCTCATAACTTTGCTTCTCCCTAAAATGTCACCCTCTTTCTGTGTGTTGAAATCCTTCAGTCTCATAAAGTGTAGAATCAATTTTGTGAAGACTTCTTGATATTTCCAAACAGATGTGATACCCTTATCCTCTAAATTGTTCCAATGATATTTGACAGTGCTAATTATAATGTGTCTAGGTGTTTAGCTATTTTTATAGTTTCTTAAGCACATCTGATGCATCTATGAACTACCTCATTGTGGGAACTCTGCTCTATTCTGCATTGTATTTATTATAAAACATAGCTCCAAATTTTATACAGAGTAGTCAAAAAAGCCATGGAATGAAACTTGAAAGTCAGCAAACTAAATAAAACTTGATTACTCAAATCCATGTCTAAGAGCCTTTGCTGTCTACAGAAAACTCGGTTACCTACTTAGGGAATCCCTTACCACAGTGTTTGATAGCTACTCTGTGACTCAGAGTAAACATCTGGATGTCTGACTGGAACTATCTTTGTGGTTTGATGATCTTTGAAAAAATAATATATTTGAAGGACTGTTATCAGTGAAAATGCTTTTTTAATCCTTTTTCCATGCAGGTACTGACCACAGAGAGGAGTCCCAGATGACTAATGTAGTGGAAAAATTTACTATTCTTTAGCTATTTTTTGTCTGGAAGATTGGTGACCATATGTAACTCATGCTTGATGCTGAATCAGGGAAAGAAAATGAAAGGGAACCATTGGTATAGTTGGGCGAATGGCCCAGACATACGCCTACACTACTGTCAACTCTAAATAAAGAATAAAAAAGCCATGACCTAAGTCACCAAATTGAACCTTTTCCTGGTAAATATAAACTTAGTGCTTAGAAGATTGCATATAAAATGGCATTAGAGAATGTATAGTATTTCTTAATGTAATATACACATTACAATAAAAAACACTTGGCTTATTTTATACAAATTTATTTTAAATAATACTGTATATATGAAAGAAAAATCACATGGAAAACCATAATTAGCTTTCTGCAAAACATATGAGGAATTCTATTAAAATATGTTAAGACAAATATTTATTATATTTAATAAGACATAAAAATACAAACATTTGGTAGAAATTACAAGGTGTAAAATGTAGGACATGATTAAAAGTTTTCCTAAGTTAACTGTAACTAGTAATTTATTGTTTTATATTTATAGATAGGACATTTACAAATCAACTACATAAGACACATAAAAGTTTTATATCAAAGCAGATGCTATCTATATTCTTGCAGATAAAACCAAATAAACAGAAATATAGCGAGAACGCAATTTTTGATGCATTATGTATAGTGTGTGTCAGCTCTGAAAGGGCCTTGATCGTATTCATCATTGTATTCCTGGACTGAGCACAGCACCTGGAAACTGAAAGATAATAAATACCATTTAAATGAAAAACTGTTAGAACTAATAAACAAATTAAATAAAGTAGCAGGATACATAATCAACATACAAAAATCATTAGTGTTTCTATACATTATTCAATTAAAAAAATAAAGAAAAGAGTCTCATTTATAATGACATTTTAAAAAGACACTTAGGAATAAATATAACCAAGAAGGTGAAAGATCTATACACTGAAAACTATAAAGCATGTATGAAAGAAATTGAAGACAACACATATAAATGGAAAGATATCCCATGTTCATGGATTGAAATAATTAATATTATTAAAATGCTGATACTGCCCAAAGAAATATGCAGATCAATGCGATCCTTATCAAAATTACAGTAACAATTTTTACAGAAATAGAAAAAAAAATCTAAAATTTGTAAAATCCAAAAAAGATGCCAAAGAGACAAAGCAACCTTGAGCAAAACAGAGCAAAAGTACTGGCATCACACTTCCTTATCTCAAAATTTACTGCAAAACCATGGTAATCAAAACAGATGGTACTAACACTAATAACAGAAATAGAGACAAATGAAACAAAACAGAAAGCCTAAGAGTAAATCTTCACATTTACAGTTAATTAATCTTCAACAAATTTGCCAAGAACACAAACAGGAAAAAAAATAGTCTCTTCAATAAATGGTGTTGGAAAACAAGATATCCACTTGCAGAAGAATGAAATTAGAACCTCATTTCACTCCATATGCAAAAGTTAAAAAAAAAGAATTCATGACTTAAACATAAGACCCGAAATTGCCAAACTACTATGAGAAAATTTTCTTGACATTGGTCTGGACAATATTTTGTTGTACATGAACCCAAAAACACAGGCAACAAAAGCAATTATAGACAAAAGAGACTGCATCGAACTGAATGTTTAATGCATAGCAAAGAAAACAATCAATAGAGTGAAGAAAAAAACTAAAAATCGGAGAAAATACCTGCAAACTATACATCTTATAAAGACTTAATAACTAAAAGACATAAAAATGGCCAACAGATATATGAAAAAAATGTTCAACATCACTAGTTATCAGAGAAATGAGAATTAAAACCACAGTGAGATATCTGTTAGATTAGCTATTATACCAAACATAACATGTATTGAGGAAGATGTGGAGAAAAGAAAACTTTTGTACCGTTTGGGTGAGAATGCAAATTAGTACAGCCATTATGTAATACAGAATGGGGGTTCCTCAAAAAATTAAAAATAGAATTACTCTATTGTCCAGCAATCCCACTTGTAGGTATATATCCCCCAAAAATGAAATCAGTATATCAAAGAGATAGCTGCACTCTCATGTGCATGGCAGCATTATTCACAATAAACAAGATATGAAATTAACCTGTGTCCATCATCAGATGAATGGATCCATAAATGTGGTTATATACAAAATGAAATACTATTTAGCCATAAAAGTAATAAAATGTTCTCATTTACACATCATGGATGAACATGGAGAACATTGTTAAGTAAAATAAGCCAGGAACAGAAAGATGTGTACTGCATGATCACACTTGCATGTAGAAGCTAAAAACCTGAATTTATAGAAGCAGAGAGTAGAACGATGGTTGACAGCGGCTGCGTGTGGGGGATGGAAAAATGTTGGTCAAAGCATATAAAGTTACAATTACATGAATAAATTATGAATATCTAATATATAACTTGCTGACTATAGTTAATAATAAAGTTTTTAATACATAAAATTGCTAAGAGACCAGATCTTAAATGTTATCACTACAAAAAAAAGTATGTGAGGTGATGAATATGTTAAGTAGCTTGATTTAATCAATTTATAATGCATACATGTATCAAAATGTCACTTTTTACACCATAAATATATATAACTTTTATTTGTCAATTATACCTTAATAAAGTATAAAAAACGATGGAGACAGCCAGGCGTGGTGGCTCATGCCTGTAATCCCAGCACTTTGGGAGGCCAGGGTGGGAGGATCACCTGAGGTCAGGAGTTCGAGACCAGCCAACGTGGTGAAACCCCGTCTCTACTAAAAATACAAAAATTAGCTGGGCATGGTGGCAGGCGCCTGTAATCCCAGCTACTCAGGTGGCTGAGTCAAGAAAATTGCTTGAGTCTGGGAGACTGAGGTTGCAGCAGGCTGAGATCAATCCATTGCGCTGCAGCCTGGGCAATGTGAGCGAAACTTCGTTTAAAAAAAAGAAAAAGAAAAAGAAAAAAGATGGAGACAAAAAAAGAAAAATTTCATCTACCAGATTTAAATGTGTAACAATTCTAGTGGATTTCTTATTTGGCCAACATTATTAGTCCTATAAGATGATTTTCTTTGTTTTTAATGGTAAATTATAAAATAAAAGCCTAAAATTGTTTGATGGATATATTTTTCTAATAATAGTCATTTTAACTTATATTTAATTATATTAAATAATATAATTTGTTCCAAAAAATAAGAAGCAGCATTTATGATCTATCATAGTCAGTTTTAGAGAGTTATACCTAAAGCATCCTAGCATTTAAATTTAAGAAGCTCTGGTCATGAAATGTTGCAAACTTGGAGAAATATGCTGAATCACTGCAGATCCTGGGAAATATAGCATTACTGAAGATCACTAATGGATATCATATTAAAAAACACTTTAATTCTATGAATTGATTGCATTATATTAGAATATTTCATTTTATTCTAGATTTTGTAAGGCTACATTTAATGTGTATAAACATACACAATAAGCATGCATGTTTATTAACATATTAAAAAACGTATATAGTTTTACACTACCTTAATCATTTTTTTCTTTGTCTCAGTCACCCACTAATTTTCTTACATGCTGGGAATGTACTTTATTCAATGCTTTATTCATGTATTAGGAGTTTATTTTTATACTTTGAGTGCATCGACTAGGTGGTAATTGTCAAGACTGTGAGAGTACATGGATTTTGCACAAACTTTGACTACAGAGATGGCAGAATTTGCTAATTAATTGATGTGTGCTATAAGAGAAAAATTGCCATCAAAAATGACTTCAAAGTTTTGGCTTTCAAAATTGGGAGAATGAAGTTGTAACTTACTAAGCTAGGGATGATTAGAAAATAATTATTTAATTTTGTTGATAAAAATCTATGAATGTATTGTGAACAGAAATTTGTTCTTGTTATTCACCCTCTGTAATCCCAAGAAACCCTCATGAATATACTAAAGCCTATCATCATAATTATTCAGATTCTTCTATCAACATTGAACAGTCTGGTATTAATCATGTTAACTCTCACCTTTATGAGCAAAGAAAAATCAGCCAACTCTATTTGGTTAGTGCAATTGACACTTGTGAACAAGAAGTCTAATATGATTTTCATAAACAAGCCAAAGAAATTGATTTGGTTGGACTAAAAAAGAAAAAAAAAAAAGGTCAGTGGAAATCCCACCAGCCCCTGTTAATATAAAGATGTATCGAATTACAATCTTGTTTGTGATGATAATACAGTCAGACTTGTAAAGTTCTTATCACTGGCCAACTGGCATAGAAAAATTACTCCTTTTCTACAGTAGTCTTCCCTTATCAGTTGTTTCACTCTCCAAGGTTTCAGCTACCAGTTGTATAGTATAATAAGAAATTTTAAGAGAGAGAGGGATAGTGAGAAAAACTACATTTACATAACTATTATTACAGTATTCTATTCAATTGTTAGTTATTATTGATCTCTAATTGTGCTTAATGTTTGAATTAAACTTTATTATGGGTGCGTATGAACAGGAAAAACATAGTATATACTATATAGAGCTTGACACTATCCATGGTGTAGGCATCCACTGGGGATTTTTGAAGTATCCACTGTGTATAAGGGGAGACTACTGTAGATGAAACTACAGTAAATGAGTGCAGTCTCAGTACATATACTTTAACTTATGTGAATTCAGCAACCATTTACATTTCCTCTTTTGTAGCCACCATATCAGAACTTAGAATACTGCTGGTAACGAAGCAGAATGCTATGAATACCGATTGACTTGAGTTTATAGAATACAAAAAATTGGAACACTGTGCCTTTTGGGTTTTAGGATGAGCACTATACTTCATGGTACTATATTCATCTTTTTTCTAGATGCTAATATTAGAGTATTACCCCTGTGTTAAGAAGCAAGTGATTTTTATAATAGTAATGACAGATTTACACTTGTTAATTCCATTCACTTTTGCATATAATTTATAATGTTGGTAAAACCAGTGAGAAGTACAGTCTATATATTTAAAACATGTTTTTCACTACAAAATAAATTTATGCAAAAGGAAGTAGGCTCAAACCCAAACTCTTATAAGCATGCTTAAAAGCGTTAAAGTATTTCTGATTAGCACCATAAAATGATAAAAATTTAAATAAAAGAATACCTTATATTATACCTAATAAAAATGATGAAGGATATTTTCATGTCTAAAATACAAATTTTTAAAACTATCTGTCCATGAGATTTAACAGAGTCTACATTTTCTTCTAATGTAGGTTAGCAATGCATATGCTGGCTTTTCACAACAGATAAAGAAAAAATATTTTAATGATCTGCATTCAATATATTTCAAAGTATATGCGTTGTTTTGTAGTTATCAATTTATTTGCTTATTTATATTTATATGGTTTTATACATGTTTTTAAAATAGGTTAGATGTTGAGAACTTCTTTATTTAAATAATAATTTGATATTAAATATGTTTGATTAATTTCTAATAACAAGGTTGGTACTCAAGATGAAAGACGCTTCAGGGGGTTCTTAGTTACAGTAAGGTATCCTAAAATTCATTATGTACATTTTTGTAGATTTAGTAAATAGTATTTCTCATATCCACATATTTTTTAAATGACTAAATATTTTCTAAGTTAAAACATATAAATTTATTTTAAAATGTCACTGACCTCATGATACTTTTAGTTGTTACATAATTTCCTAATCAGAGCTTACAAAAATTATCATAACTACCATGTGGATATCTGCAAAACATTTTGACATTAAAAACCAGGTCCTTGGACTTAAAAATTTAGGTACTAATTCACTCCATTTCAATGCAGTAACTGTTCTTAACTAATGCAATTTAATCTACTTCCCTTTTTGTCTTTAGTTAGTAGAGATTCAAAACATCTGGTTATGATCAAGTATTCATAATCTCCTAATTTAAAGTTACATGATTCACAATTTTTTAATATATATTTTGGAGATAACTGAATATGTACAAAAATATGGGCAATAGGTCATATTAACCTTAAACTATTCTGAATGTTCTTAAGCGTCAATCAGAAATACAAATGGCCTATCTTTATAATTATTTCCCTTTACCCTATCTGAAAAATGCTTATATTTTACACTTCAGCCTAAAGTAAGCAAGCACTGCATAAAATGTTGTGTTGGGTAATCACTACTGCTTAGCTATTGCTCAACACATGTCAAATACAAGTAATTAAAACTATAGTGGGCCCAAGCAAAACATTAAAATTTTTGCATTCCAAAGGAGGTTCATTAAAACCAGATGACTGGCTTGGCTCGTAGAAGGACTTGGCTGAAACATGTCCACTTCAAATCCATACTGTCTTATTTGCTTACATCACAGAATCACTGACTCAAGAACCTGAAGGGTCCTCCAAAGTTTATCTAACCTCTTTCCAAGCAGAGTTTTACTTAAAATATTTTGCAGAGAAACTAATATTTCTTTACAAAGTCATATGCAAGAATATTCCAAATACTTTTTGTATCATTAAAAAGTATAATTTTTCAGTGAGTAGAAAAACAATTTAAAACTCTTTATTATTTTATTCTGCTAAAATCACCTTAATGCATTTTAGCAAATTCATTTGTGGCCTCACTACAGTGAAAGAGATCAGCACTAGCGTGAACTGTGTCATTGAATAATATTCCATTCTACATTATATCCAATACACAAACAGCATAAACTATGTATTCTTCATGGCTGCAAACTATGAGAGACTTAAATTCTTGAAAAAAGTTTAAAGTGGCACTCAAAAAAATTATAAAACCCATATTTGGTTAATATACATTTTTATTATGAGAAATTGATAATTAAGAATCAATTATTTAACCATTTATTGTTAAAAAGAAAAGAATGAAAGAATATTAAAATCAAATTCCTTAAATAATCCATTTAAAAACATGTATTAAGTTATATATAAAGGCTCCTTATTATAGACAATTTGATGAGCTAATAGGTAAGTAACTTCAAGCAGTTTATTAGTCAAGCATTGGAAATGTGCATACTGTATTTAAAATGATTTCAAGTCATCTTAGATCTCTTAATAGGTTTACTGTTTTTGAAGCCCATGAGCATTTATCTTTTATCAAATAATCCTAAAACCTACAACTTATATTGCTTAAACATGCAGTCTTTCAGTGTACTAAAAAATAATCAATGCATATGCTTTCCTTTCTGCCACTCTACCTCTGGTCAACAAAATTAAGCAGTTTAAAACACAGTTTTAGTAAGAAGGTAAAGCTTTATGATATAACACATCCAATTTTGATGCTGCATGAGGGAAAAGACAGTCTTTTAAGTTCAGATTAATTCTGAGTCACATGTTCTTCCTCACACGCCTGTTTGCCTTGAGTGAAGTCTGTTTTTTTTGAGCACAGGATGCTACTGACTGTAACTCACTCAAAACATGGGCCAGGAAGATTTATTTTGTCATTTCAGCTGAGAAAATGGTAAAAAGCTATAAAATGAAGGTATTAGGCCTTTGGTGTGCTTCATATTACACACCACTATTAAGGTGGCAAAGTATCCATCTCCTCAATACAGCATTTATAAAACATTATGTGTTGAATATACTGAATTATTTTTACTTGCTAAACAGGCTTAACAGTAAGAATTTAATTCAAACTCCTACCATTAAGCACAGTTTTTAATATCAATGTAAGCTTCAATCTTAAATAAAACATAAAATTATCCTCTTATAGCAACAGAACATAAATTTATTATTCCTCTTGAGTGTTTATCTCTCTATCCATGTTATTAGGCTGTGTTAATTGCCTGTCAAGAGAGAAAGCTTCTGTTCTGCCTGTGACAATCATAACCACATATTGTGCATAATATTGATATTCCATTCACTTAATGTAAGCACATATTTTGATTATAAAAGCAATAGTATGTTTAACATATTATATCTTACTACTATTTAATGTTTGCTAACCATTGAACAATCCATTATCCTCTTAAATTATGGTTGGTTCTTAAGTCAAAGACAAACTGTAGAAAACCATGTATCAATCTATACATAAAGTTATATATCTACCTATATAAAAGTCCATCTTTATATAATAGTGACACAAATTTTAGAGTGTGACAAGCTGAAACATTTTTCTTTACATAAAAATGTACAATTACATTGTGACTATGACTTTCCAAATACCCATGACAAACTCAAAATCCATGTGCCTCCAACTGATTCAGAGACTTAGGTTTCCATCACTTTTACCTTGTCTCTCAGCCATGGTTTCTATATTTGATTAGTTCTTCCTTAGTTATAGGACTGTAGAAAAGTCCACCTCAGAGGTTACTTAGAGGCTACATAAGCTTTAGTAACTTAGGGACACATACTAGTCAGTCACTCTGTCTCTTGTCTTCATCAGCTTTCCTTTTTTGTTGTTGTTGGTCATTTGGCTTATTGCAGGTAAGATTCCTCCATGTTGGAAAAAGTAGTAATAATATGTCCACACAAGACTCTAGACTGTTCTTAGCAAAGCTTACTAAGGTCAGAGGAAAGTAAGGTATACACACACACACACACACACACACACACACACACACACATATAATTAGCAAAGCATACTAAGCTCAGAGGTAACCTGAGATGTAACAATCCTGTTCAAAGGCCAGGTTACCTCTGAGCTTAGTATGCTTTGCTAATTATAAATACATATTTTTCTCCCCTTTAGCACCCACATGTGCTATTCTCCCCTTTGGCACCCACATGTTAAATCCCAGAGAATAATTTATGCTGACATCACCTAAATAAGCCGATGACTGTGATCAAACTAATGGCTAATATAATAAGTCAGACCTAGGAGATATATTTTTTTGGATACAGGTTAGAAAAGGAAAACAGGATGGCACTTATTACACTGGTCCCACCCAGAATCTCATGGAGTAAGAGAGAGGCTTGGATCCCCAGAAATAATGACACTTGCTGTTAATAAACAAAATGTGAGGAAACAAAGGGCTTAAATTACATCTTCCTCATTTTATTTTTTAGCTGTCTAGTTAACACATTTGTGTATAATTCCATGAATAGCTCCACCTAATATAATTATTTTACTTAATAAACATACACTCATCCTCTCTCCAACAGGAACAATCCAAAGACATGCTGTTAAGTCGCCCTGTTCTACGGCCAGCATCTCTGGGTAAAATGCATTTCCCTTAATCAAATTCAGATGTGAGTCCTCACAGCACCACTGCCAAATTCTAATTATAAACGTAACCATTCGATCTTACACAACAAACAATGTTAGGGAAAACAGAAACAGTCCAATAAAGCAAAAAGAATTAATGGTGAGCTCTTCTCTACTGTTGGCATAAATTCATTGCTTTGACCTATTCTCCTGTGTCCATTGATCTTTATTGTCACACTCACAAGGG
Source organism: Homo sapiens (assembly GCF_000001405.40). Taxonomy (NCBI): domain Eukaryota; kingdom Metazoa; phylum Chordata; class Mammalia; order Primates; family Hominidae; genus Homo; species Homo sapiens. The sequence goes on along the minus strand of NC_000007.14, from coordinate 85,480,239 downwards.
AACACACTATCACACCGCACAAGACTCTGCAACCTGAACAGTACTTAAGAATCATATGAGCTTTGGCCCAGTAGGTTCTTGAGGGAATCACAGGTACCTGATTTCCAAGTATGAGTTCCCTAACAATACAACTCATAAAACCTTAGTCATCTGTTAGTTGAGTCATTTGAGGGTACCTTTATTCAATCAAAGAATAAATCTTGACATCATACTTCTTAATTCTATACTTTCTCTTTGCTTTATTTTTTTTTCTCTTTTAATAGCACAAGAAATTTTGGTCATGTACCTATATGTCAGCTTGATGACTTTTCTGTTGATTTCCAGTTCAGGTCAGGCCAGTATGAAAACATAGGCCAGTATCAGGGAGGCAGAGACAGCTGCTTCCACACCTGTAGGCTGGACCCCTGTGGAATAAATATTTATATATATATGTGTGTGTGTTTGTGTGTGTGTGTGTACACATATATGCTTATACATATATGTATAAATACATATATGTATATAAATACATATACATATATGTGTATGTATATATACATACATGTATGTGTGTATATATGTGTGCGTGTGTGTGTATTTAAAAAAAGAAACTTTCAACATCTGTAATAATCAGATAGTAAAGAGAACAGTAAGTGATATTTGGGAGGGCCATGAATATCTGGATCTTCACATTTCTCTGGAGTTTCAGTCTCATTTCCTTTTCTGTTTCCCATCTCCTTGCTCTGTCCACAAAAACTTAAGGGCTGGCAAGAGAATTTGAGCTTTACACTTCCCATGTGATTGTCCAACTCCCAGTGGCCTTGGGATCAAAAGTGAATTGGTTTTTAGACTAATACTAAAGGCTTATATTACTTTTCTCTTAGAAATTAAAAAGGAAATGAAAGAAAGGAACACAAAAAGGTAATACAGCACATGTTAAAATATTTCAAATAGCATCAAAAACTGTAAAGTGAGAAGTGACTTTTTCTATATACTTGACACCCAAATTCTAGTTCCCTGACCATAGGCAATCATTGAAGCACTGCATGCATTCCTAGAAATGGTCCATGCATATTATAGCACACGTATATCTGTCACAATGTGATACCACTGTAGATCCACCAATGACTATAATAAAAAAGGTAGAAAATACTAAATGTGACAATAAAATGAAGAAACTGTTACAGGACAGGGGTCCCTATCCAGACCCCAAGAGGGGTTCTTGGGCAAGGAAAGATTCAGGGCCAGTCCGCAGTGCAAAGTGAAAGCAAGTTTATTAAGAAAGTAAAGGAATAAATGATGGCTACTCCATAGACAAAGCAGCCCTAAGGGCTGCTGGTTGCCCATTTTTATGGTTAGTTCTTGATTATACACTAAACAAAGGGTGGATTATTCATGCCGTAGCGCTGGTGGGAGTGTAGCAGTGAGGGACGACCACAGGTCACTCTTGTTGCCACTTTGGATTTGGTGGGTTTTGGCCGGCTCCTTCATTGCAACCTGTTTTATCAGCAAGGTCTTTAAGACCTGTATTTTATGCTGACATCCTATCTCATCCTGTGACTTAGAATGCCTTAACGGTCTGGGAATGCAGCCCAGTAGGTTTTAGCCTCATTTTACTTAGCTCCTGTTTAAGATGGAGTTGCTCTGGTTCACACACCTCTGATAAAACTATTTATTTACACCCTGTGATTGGAATTCAAATTAGTACATATTCTTTGGAAAATTATTTGTCAGGATCTGCTAAAGCTAAATCTATAAATTCTCTGTTGTCTCAACAATTTCACTGCGTGTTATAGAACTAACAGCAATGGGTAGACCAGAATACATGAATGATATTGCTCACAACAGCACTATTTGTAGTAGCCCACGTCAAAATTTTCTGAATGATTATCAAAAGCAGAATGAATAAACAAATTGTTTTATATTCATACAATGGCATGTATAGAAATAAGAACGAAAAAAATTAACTGCCAGTATTTGCAGCAGTAGGAATAAGGATCACAAACATAATGTTGAATGAAAGGAATAAAACACAAAAAAGAATGTTATGGATATGGTTCAATTTACATGAAGTACAAAAAGAGACAACACTAATTTATGTTGTTATAACTCAGGAGAGTGGTTGCCACTCAGAGTTAACAGTGACTGGGAAGTTTCTGGGGCTGGTAATCATCTATTTGCGAATCTAGGTGAATTTATTTTGTGAAAGCATATTAACTGGTGTGTATACTTTTCTGTATATGTATTATACTTCACAAATAGCTAAATGATATCACAATAGTGAAAGCAGTCCACATAATCATGAATAATCATATATTTAATAAACAGTTAAAATAAATGAGGTAAAGTTCTATTTACTGATGCAAATATAACTCTAAAGGAGTGCTAGCTTTAAAAAATAGAATAATAAATACAATAGCATAGCATACATAATTCAATTTTAAATGTATATATATGCATACATTTATTTAAAATATTTTTCTGATATACAATGAACTGATAAAAGTGGTTATACCTCTAGAGAAATAATATTGGTAATAAATTAAGATGATATCTTCCTCTACTCTCAAAGCTTATTTTTTGGTAAAATGTTTATATATATACATATATATATATATACATATATATATGTTATATCGTAAATATCCAACTATACATGGATGTAGACATTACATATCTCATATGTTTTCAATTAAAAAATGAAACTAGCCAAGAGATGGAAGCAGCCCAAATGTCCATCAATGGATGAATGAATAAACAAAGCATGGCATATACATAAAATTGAATTTTATTCAGTCTTAAAAAGGAAGGAAATCCTGTCACACATTGCAGTATGGATGAACTTTGAGGACATTATGCTAAGTTTAATAAATCAGTCACTAAAAGACAAATACTGTATGATTCCACTTACATGAGATATCTAAAGTAGTCAAATTCATAGAAACAAAAAGTAGAATGGTGGTTATCAGGGCTTGGGAGAAAAGGGGAATTATTGTTTAATGGGTATAGAGTTTCAGATTTGCAATATGAATGAGTTATGGAGATCTAGTTCACAACAATGTGAATATACTCCACACTACAGAACCACAAACTTAGAAATGGTTAAAATGGTAAACTTTACGTTATGTGGTTTTCACAATAATAAAAAGTAAAATTAAATTAAACATGCTAAGTTTCAGAACAAGAAAAAAATAATAGAATTATATACTCATTGTTATAAAATCTTATTTTATTCCCCTAACATGTCTTGAGATTTGCTCATATTAGTTCATGTAAAGTTACCTCAGATTAAAAAAAAATTGTAGAATATTCCATTGCACATGAGTATGACTAATAATGTGAGTATAATATAAAGACATTCTCCCTACTTCATTCTTCATGAGTTCTGCTTCTAAATGAAATAAATAGTAAGGAAATTCACACTGAATTTAACTGGAGAAACAAGTTCCTCAGTTTCCTTGTTAAGATAGTCATTCACTATATTTTTATCTGGTAACATTATTTTCTCCAGTCTGAGGAGAGCAGAGAATTATGGCCAGACTCTATTTATGGGCGTACTAGATTGGTTTGTTTTGTTTTGTAACTTGGCAGTAAAGGTGAAACTAGCAATACCAAGATTACATTTATCTGGAATATATATATATATATATATATATAATATATTATATATTATATATAAATCAATAACTGTTTCTCAGTTCACTTTACTTTCATAGGTCACAGTTTTTATTTGAAAAATCAAGAAATTCTTGATAATTAATTCAAAGTATTTGACCCTCAGTTCTAGTGCTATACCTTCTTCCAGGGGTTTCACAGCAAATTCCTTTTCAGTGGCAATACCAACTGACTTGAGGAAAGTGGTTGGGGCGTTGTGTTGGTTTTACATTTCCTACAGTCCTGTTATCCAACTACAATTGGACATAGTAGACATTCAACAATGTCTTTGTTGTTGAGGGGTGCAATTATAACTTTATTTCTGTCTTCACAATAAGACAAATGGAAAGTATAATATTAGAATAATTAAGTTATAAGATATTTTACTAAAAGTACAAGAGTAGTAGTATTAACAGCATTCAGTACAACATTTTTTTTTAAAATTTTCTATACCAGAGATTGTTTTTGGTCTTTATATATGTTATTTCTAAGTACTTAAAAAACAGACTTACAGAATAGAGTTGCATGTTTAAACAAGGAATTAGGATTCAGAGAGTTGAAGTGAGTTATCTAAGAACACAGAAAGTAGCAGAAATACAAGTCCAGATCTCTCTGGCTTCTGTTCTTTCTTACCATTACATCCTGTTGCTATAGGAAAAGATAAGGTTGTACTTTCTAATGCTATCTTCCTAAGTAATACCTAATCTAAATAAACTTCTGATGGGTTTCTATACTAATAAGAGAAAACTCCATCAATCAAGTGTGGAAGTAGTCTTTCAATTCAATATTTAGCTATTCAATAAGAAACTTAACATTTTATTTTTAAAATTTAAAACATACTTAGAATTCTAACTTAGTTGAAACTATACATTAGAAACTGAATGACCCAATCTCCGGTCACAAAGATCATGTAAAGTTGAACTTTGAGTCAAGGTTGTTTGCTTACCAAATTTGGTATATGTTAAGTGGCATGTAGCTTCCATAAATATAGAGAACACAAAAGGTCTTCACCACATCTGAGTTTGGGTAACACTTCATTTCACCAAACACAAATATAATATAGCTTTTCTATTCTATATTTATGGGGCAGGTGTTCACCGTATAATAATAAGTTTACTAAAGTAATGTCAACTGGCAAAGTATACCCCACAAACAATACTGGTAAATACAGTAGATTCATGGGGAAAATGTGCTGTTTATTTCTGTTTTCCGAATGGAAGGAAAAGTTATAGTACATGGCAATTACCTTGAGGCTTTCTGCTTCACGAAAGTTGGCTTCCAATTTCATTACCATAATTCTGCAGAACGCAGTCAGTTGCGGTCACAGTCTCTGCCAACCCACCTTCAAACTCTCCCTGCCAATCAGAGCAGAACATCCTGTTGTGGGAGTGGAGTAGTTAGAAGTTTCATGGTATATCTTTCAGAAAAGAATAAACTAGCATTATAATTGAGGTCATTGCCAAAACATGGTATTCTCATGAAAAGATGTGATAGGATTAAGCTGTCATTAATGCTTATTAGCCGGGGTTGGGGGGAAATCTTTCCTAAACAGAACTTTTAACTTAACTGGAATTAACTGAGGCTTTTTCTAAGTAAGTCAACTCAAAACAGTGGATATTTACTGTTTTTGTAACATGTGCAAGATGCTTTCTTACTATTTTACAGACCATAATCTATAATATTATCATTTAATTTTTGCATATTTTAGATATAAATCCACTTGACAAATTAATATTAAGCACCTAATTTAAAGGAACGAAATTCTGTGCTGATAAACTATTGGCTCTGTGTCTTAATTATTCCCTTGCACTCTTTTGTAGAATTGCTATATGTGAAACCTAATAGAATTTAAATAATAATTTTTGTTCATTAATTTATCTGTTATTGAGTACTAAACAATGTTCTACGTGTAATGTGTGATTGAGTACTAATAAAAATTCTATGTTCTAGGTGTAATAGAGAGAAATAAGGAAAATAAACTGAAAATGAAATGACTACTATAACAATGGCATATGTGGGGGTTATTGAGTTGCAAAGGAAAAAAATTCTTTCTGACAAGATCAGGAGATGACTTCCTATAGAAAAATGCAAAGTTAAACAAGATTGTCATTTAAATTACCTCAACTTGATTCCCCTTGGGGGATTTCTACTTAATAATTTTCTTTCTATTTTGGTACAGGCCAGCAAAACTGCTCAGACTACTAAAGGAGCATATTTGTGGGCACTGTCTGACTCGTATGAAGATGCACATGTGAGAATGTAGGTATTCAGATCGAAACCAGATAAATGTATTTTTCAATGCTGTAATTTTGAAAGATGAGCCTAACAGAAAAGCCATCTTAACATAAAAGTATATCTAATTCTTTATGACTTTGAATTTGTTGCATTTAATTTTCATTACAAATATTATGTAATTTGGCTTCTGAAATTAATATATACAAATGTTATATATTTTCTAGTTTCTTTTTAGAATGACAGTAATGCAAAACAAATGCCAAAACCTACTCTTGTCACCTGCACTAGAAAGGAAAAACATTCACCAACTAGCATGGGTCACTTACTTTCCCAGAGGAGAGGAAATAATAAAGACAAACAGCATTTTGATTTTTTTTATTTGATGTGATAGTAAATCTACTACGATTTTTGGTAACAGCTGTGAGTAGGTGTTTAAAAGAATATTTCTTTCCTGTTTCTTTTGGTGACATAAGTCACTTTGATTCTTTCTCTTTGACATCAATATGAAGGAAAATGTTAGTCTAAATGCTCCATGATGCCAGAAAATATACATTGTTTTGTGCATTTTCTAGAGAATTAATGTTAAACAAAATGTCATTATTAAAAATTTCCAATTTTATTAGGATATAGTTTTTTTGGTAATTTAAACATTTGCATTACTTAGTAATCAGCTACAGTGCTAATAGATAACATGATATATTAACCTAAACTGGTTTTCCACCTGAACATTTTATACCTGCTAGTATGTTTAAAAGATGAGTAAGTGTCCAATTAGGAAACAATTTATGCAGCTGATATAATGAAGCACTAGATTTGCGAGTTGGCTTTCTCAAATCTATTTCCTTAGGAAGCTGCACATTTTATTTTTTACATACGCCGCACTTAGAGTGCTAATGGAAATAAAGATTAAGCAATAATAATGATAATAATACTACCCTATTAAAACATTGCTATCCCAGTTGTTGTTGTGATAGTGGTGGTGATAATGGTGGTGGTGGTTTGCGCCCTCCCTCTCTCTGTATCTTTGTCCTTCTCTCTCTTATTTTCCTTCTTCTTCCTCTTTTTTGCATCTTATTTGTCCTTCTTTTAGTTACAATTTTATCAGACTTATTAAATAGAGTCACAGATAAGTTTTGAAGCATTCACTATCAGGAAATTGTTTAGAAGCACACTTCCATATTTACTATCTCATATATGCATGATACATATAATATTATGGAGAGCAATTGAGGTCATGCCTGGAATCATCTGATGATGTCCCAAGACTAATCTAACATAAGTTCCATTGTTATTCTCATTCCTTGTGATTCTATGACTATGGATTTCTACTCAGATATACTATTCCTTAAAATATTATAAACTAAGATTTTTAACTTAACAGATTTTTAACATATATGCTTCAATTATTCTATTGATTAGAATCCTAATAATGAAAAGATAACTAATGGCAAAGTAGTTAAGGGTATTATATACAATATATGTTGATAGAACATATATGTTGATAGAACATATATACAATATATGTTGCTTTTATACTTTGTGTTAAAAGCATTGTTGAAAACATAAGCAAGTTCTACCTATTCTTTGGTTTCACAATGATGACAAAATAAACCTTAAAATCTGTTAAAGAGTGGTGCAAATATTCATAGGAGACTTTAGAATTGACACTAAAATTACTTATCTATATCTGCTATCTATCTATCTATCTATCTATCTATCATCTATCATCTATGTCTGCTCTCTAACTATCTATCTATCTATCTATCATCTATCATCTATCTATCTATCTATCAGTCTCCCTCATCTCCTGTCTTCACCACATCTGATGGTTTGGGTTTTTCAAAAGTTAATGATGTTTGGGAAAAGCAGACACAGTCTGTTGTCAAGTTTTCACTTGGTCTAAATTCAAAATCTATGAGAATAGACATTCCTGGTTACACAAGATGCAGAGTCAGACAAACAAAATTACAATGACATATCCTCCAGTTTTCAATCTAATCCATGGCATTTTTCTAGGAATAAAATAAAATCTTCCGAGGCAAACTTTGTTTACAGGTAGAATAACTGCTTCGAGTAGTTTCCTCCCTATAATGTATCATTTGTCTGCATGCTTATAATAAACATTCATTTAGTAGTTTATCTGAACTGTCAGGGGATTCAATAAAATTCTGTTGAGCATAAAATAATTGAGTTTGCCATTCTCACATACTGAAAGAATGTTTTGAGTTCAGAGAGAGGGAAACAACTCACATAAGATTACTATAGTAAATTTTTTCCAATAGTGTTTATTCTGAGAAGACAGTGGAAGGTACTTGAAAAACAAATGAGTCTGACTAAACTTCTATGCCGCAGTAGCGAGCAATGTAAGTTGTTTATAGAATAGTGAAAGCATGGAGACAGATGCCTCTTTATTTTCTGAGTTAACTCACTTTCAGTGACATGAAAGGAAACTGCGGGATGGTGACTAACACAAGTGGAAAGAGTGGAAATGCTCAAGAAAACCAAAATAGAGTTGGTGTTTAAGACACTTCCTTAATTGTTGCTTCTTGACTTAACTCCCCCTCTCTTTTCCATCACACATCTTTAAACTGCCTTGGCTTTAGTTTTTGAAAAATTTGCTACAACAATGATTATTTTATATGCAGCAAACACAATTTTAAAGAGTGTGGTTTTAATTGGAAATACTAATGTAAGGGTCCATGAGAAATCAAACCAACTATGTTAATAGAATATAAAATCAAAAGTATAAATATTTTTGAAAGTCTCCTGATTCATTTTTAACCAACAGATGTCACTGTTACAGATGTTGCAGTTTTATTTATTGCCTCTTTTCTTCAAGTTTTTACTTCTTACCTCTTTTTTTACTCTAATACTTTCTCCAGCAGTGCTGCCTCATAGAACTTTATGCAATAGATGGAAAATTTTTATAAGCTTCACTCTCCAATATGGTAGCCTCTCTAGCTATGAGGTAATGAGTACTCATTTAAAATGTGACTAAGAGAAAAATTAAACAATATGAATGAAACATCCCTCTTGATGTTTGCAGCTATTGCCATTCTTTTACTCTTCCTCTTCCCTTTTCAGTTTATTTTTCTTCTTTGACTTATTTCCCTTAAACTCTACACATCTCCCTCAGACATCTCCTTTATATTCAAAGATTTATTTATTGATTATTTCTATTGAACCTCAAGTCTCCAGTACCATACATTCCGTGATTTACTCAGCAAGTATTTGTTAAGCAATTACTAGGTTTTAGCACTATACAGACCTAATATAAATGAGAAAACTAACATTGCATAAATACAGGTATGATAAATATTTCAGGAAATGCATTTTTACCTAATGGAAAATTTTGTGAGGATACCCTACAAATCCATGTAATGTAGCATGTGCATATATGGGAGTCATTTAAAATTTTTAGGTAATTAGGTTTTTCCTAAAGCTGTAATGTATAATCCCCAGTTGTGTCATAGAATTCTTTGTTCTGGGAAAAATTATATAAATGGGCAAAAACAACAGCAATAGCAATTATGAAATCACCTTAACCTGAAATCAGATACTAAGTATTATGTGTTAATGTAAATTGTTAAATTGCTTATCTGGGCTTTTGCCCTTTAGAGGCAGTGTGGGGATGGACACGGAGGGCAAGAAACAGCCATTTGCTGTTTAAAATGAGAGAACAATGTATAAAACTCAACTGTTCTTGAGGGTGTGGTGATGCTGTTGTGGTTATAGCTTGACTGCTTAATGAGGGTGTTTTGGTACAGTTTGAAAGGAGCAAGAATATTACTTGCAGAATATGAGCTGCAGAAAGTAAATATGAGACAAACACCTTCCCCTTCCCCAACTTCGTATTATTAAAAAATCCCACTCTATAGAGAACTTTTTAAAGATGCAATGACTAACTCTAAACCCTTCACCTAGCTTCATCAGTGTTTCTATCCTCCATCATTGCTCTCTCTCTCTTTCTCTCTGCATACAATTTTTAACCATTTGAAAAGTAGGTTGCAGATACAATAATTTCTCATAAATACGCTGCATACACCTCTAAAAGAAAGACATTATCCAGCATAACCACGATATCATTATCCGACATAAAATATATGTTAACAATAATTTTATAAGATTATTGAGTATACAGTCCACAATCATATGTTCCCAGTTTTCCTAGAAGTAACTTTTAGGTTTGTTCCCTGATATAGGATCCAGTGAGGTTTCATCATGGCATTTGTTATGATTATTTAGTCTATTTTAATCTACAAGAGTTCCCCCCAACACACTCCTTTTGTGTCTTACTTTTAAAGACTTTACTGTTTTTTATTTATATTTTTACATTTTGTTTTGAAGAGTCAGGCCATTTTTCTTTGAGAACATTCCACTTTCTGAATTTGCTTTATTTTATTTCATCATAATTACCTTAAGGGAAAATCTGTCATTTAGCAATGACACCACATAGATAACGCTGTGTACTCTACAGCATCACATGTAGGAGGTACATAATATCAGGCTGCCCAACTGTGTGTGTAACTGCTGGATCACTTGGATATGAGCAGTGATTATCATATCTCTTCCTTGTAACTTTTTCCTCTGTAATTAGCTGGTAATCTGTGGGTAATCATTTACAACTGATGCAAAAAAATTCTCTTCCCCAATGATCTTTAACCCAATGGTTTAAACATCTATTTATAGTAAGTGCCTAAAGGAGTTTTTACATTGGGAGCTACAAACTCATTAGTTCTCACATTTCATCTGATTTCATCATTTATTCTATGCTCTATTGGTAGTCTTCTGTAAAAGGAGACTTTTGCTTTTTATTTTTTACATTTTGTGGTTTTGGACTCACAGTTTTAGGAGATTATAATCAAATTTTTTCATTATTCTAGGAGATTCTCAACTTAACCAGAATTGAAGGGGCCCCTTTAGGTCAGTGTTGCCCCCTCCCTTTTACTTCATGAGCCTTTTAGTATTTTTTTTTTCCTTCAGGCATAATAGGTATTAATTACTTGTAATCAGCAATTGTACTTAGAAACCAATATCTGGTCATTTGGTGTCTCATTGCTACTAGGTTATTGTTATTTCTAGACCTTTATAGTGGACAGACACAGGAAATGTCTTTTGGTGTTTTTAATCAAGAATTCAAACTAATATTTCTAATAAAATTTTAACATTAACAGGATTTTTTTACCTTGTATTTTATATTGGTACCTGTTTTTCTCTCAGTAAAAATATGCACGTATGTATGATTTAGACAAGGTCTCGCTCCGCCACCCAGGCTGGTGTGCAATGGCATGATCATAGCTCACTGCAGCCTCAAATTAGTAGGCTCAAGCAATCCTCCTGCCTTAGACTCCTGAGTAACCAGGACTACAAGCTTGTGCCACCATGCCCAGCTAATTTTTAAACATTTTTTGTAGGGATGGTGTCTCGCTATGTTACTCAGGCTGACCTCAAGCAATCCTCCTTCCTTTGCCTGCCAAAGCACTGGGATTACTGGCATGTTTTCTTTTCATAAAATTAATGTATTAATTTATTGGCTTTATTCTACAGTGCCCATAAAATAACATCATAAATAGGGATACTGCCACTAATAGTAATAATTATAGACTCAGTTATTAGATAACTTCAGATTTTTTATCTTATTTAGACTTTTAACTATATTAAAAATTTTACTCAAGGAAATCTTCCTTTCACTATATCCAGCTCCACCCTTTCCCTCCTATCCATTATATATAATCATTTTTATTGCCTTTTGGTTTATCTTTCCCCTAGTTCTTTTTGGGGGAAAATCTGTCTTCTTTTTGCACAAATAATAACCTATTAAAGTATTGAATGCAATCTTTGACCTTCCTTTTTTCCATAAAATTATATTCTAGAAATTACTCCTCTATCAATTTATAGAGATTTTTCTCATTCTTTCTAATGGCTACTTCGTATTTCTTTTTGTTTTTTTATGATGCTTTATTAAAGCAGTTTTTTATAGATGAGAATTTGTTTTAAAATTTTGCTATTACGAAATAGCATCATAAAAAATACCATTTGCATATGTGTTTTGAGAGTCCCCAGCTAAACTGGGGTTCCAGTACCAGAGCACCTAGTAACCCTGCCCTAAAGGAAAAGGACTGGGGCTGGATATGGGTGTTTACAGTATGCCTTTCACAGGATATTTATTTCTTTTACTCGGAGGATGGCTTAATGTCTGGTTGTCTAACTCGTGATGTTGGGGTGGAGTTGGGGTATCTGTCACATGGGAAACTTCTTTATACTGGCAGATACCTACGTTGTCTTTGTCTGACCTGTGTCCAGATTATGACTGACCATTGCTCTGGCACTGGAAGCCTGACTATGTGCTCTTGCCTGCATTTCCAGGAAAAAACCCAGCCTGGGGAAGCCCCTGGTTTTTCAGATGGAAGACGCAAATTTAATATACTACCACAATAAGAAACAAGTTCAAAGATTTTCACTTACAGATCCTGGGCAGGGAGGCACAATGAGTCAAGAGGGCAGTCCTCTGTCCCCAGGTCACAGGAGGCAGGAATGAAGAGTCAGACAGAGAGGGAGAAGAGCACATGGCAACTAGCGGTATATGTAAGTGAATATGGTGTGGGTCACTTTACATTCCCACGCAAAGCCTGACTGTCCTTTTAAAAGAAGCGGGAGAGATGGATCTAAGTTTTTTGGCTAGGTTGAGTCATGTAAGTGTGGTGTAGAACTGGAAATTGTGTCAAAAATGACTAAGCCCCGCTTCTGGTATCAGAAAGTTTAACTTGTATTCAAAATGAATGCCGAGGCAACACAAAATTATAACAATTCATCATAATATGTTGTTTTGTATTCTGGAAGGCCTATTGTCAGGGTGGATTTCTAAAAGTGAGATTATAGATCAAAGGGAATTTTCCTTGATAGAGATTGACCATTTTGCAAGACATGAGAGTTACTGCTTTCCAAAAGCCACAGCTACAGAATAAACCGTAAAACTTTTGAAATTTTCCGGTTTCCCAGTAATAGTAATCTCTGCATTTTTATAAAGAATAATATGGTGCATATTTTTGTATATTTTATGTACATTTATTTTTTCTGTGTAAGTTCTATCCATTCTTTTACCCATTTTTATATATACTTTTAATCTCTTATTTCTTCAGATTAACAGATTTTTATATATTAGAGAGATTAGCTAAAGGGTACTTTTGTGAGACACTATATAAGGTTTGTTTTTCTGTTTCTGCCTCAAATGATGTAGAAGTTACTGTTATCAGAACACGCCTGTGCTCTATTACAGGGCAACTAATCATCTTTTCAGGTCCAATAAAAATCCATGTCCTGGCTGCATCCTTCCCTGAGCACTTCTTCCCTCCTTTTTCACTAGAAGTGAAGAATGATTTATTCCCTCCATCAATCAAGGATGAAAGAAGAAGTGAGACAGGTTCTTGTGGACATCAGGAAATACAGTTTCTCTATGAGCTGTGGGTTTAGAGAGAAAGGGTTTGGAGGAAATGATTGTCACCTAATATAGAAGACATTGGTGGAGACTCATGAACACTATTCTCCTTGCTTTCCATGTAGTTGTGGGTTAATGGTCCTTGCACCTCCTGCACAGCTGGAGTATACTGCTGTCTGGCATTTAAGACCAACCTCTTTACACGTAGCAAAGTCCCTCTCTAAACCTCTCTGAACCACAGCAATGGAAAGGAAGTGACAGATTGAAAAACTGTGTGGAAGTTACAATTTTAGGCTATGATGATTGATTCCTTTGGACCAGGATCTGTTAAAATTCAAGAAAACATTTTTCAACCATGGTACTCATCAGAATCCCTCAGAGAGCTTCTTCAAAATTAACTTTCCAAGGCCCCACCCTACCCCTAGTGACTCAGAAGTTCTGTGACTACATCCAAGGCTATTGATGGAGATGAGGATGAGGTGTAAAATGGTACCTGGAAGTGTTCTGATAATGAGCATGTTTTTATAGATATATCGGTCATTCAAGTATATTCATTTTTTATAGTATTTTTAAAATGTGTCATTGCCTATTTTAAAGGATTTTTTATACATTCTGATGGTAACCTATTACCAGCTATCTGTATGACAGATAACTTTCTCACATTATAGCCTTGACTTTTTTTAATGTATTTAATTTGTCTTTTAATTTAGTTTCTAAAATGTTTAATATAGTTAAATATATCAATCTCAACTTTTGTGTTTTTGTACATTTTTGTACTTCTTTAAAGTGCATTTCCCTGGCCTAAAGCCATAATCTATCGTTTTCAAATTAAAAAAAACTTTCAATTTTTACATTTCAGTCTTAAATCCACCTAGAACTGATTATTTGCTTAATAGTATGAAATAGAAATCTAATTGTGTTATTTTCCACACATATAAGCAGTTTCCCAATGAATTTGTTAGCAGTCAACTAGACTACTCTTCCAAAAAGTTCTTCTTGTGAAGAAAAAAAAAAAGACTCAATACAATAGATACAGATACAGATGAGGAGGAGATTGTAGCTTTCAGTATACATTTGCAAAACATGTTCTAGAATCAAGGTCTTCTTCATGGATATACATGACCTGTGCAGTTGGAAAGAGTACTATATACCTAGAGGGGCCCTGAGAATAGTTCAATGTTTTGCTATTGGCATAATGAAATTCTTAGTAATTTTTCAACATGAAGCCCCACTTTTTATTTTGCACTGGGACCTTACAAATTATTTATGTAGCTAATTCTGTCAAGGAGACATTGTCTGGCAACAGTTGTCATTAGTTTGCTCTTACCACTTTCTGGCTTCTATTGATTGAGTTTTTACAGAATTAAGGACATATATCTGCTCTTCTTTTTAAGAAAAGATTCTACTTTTTGCTTTTGTTTTCTAAAATTAAAAATTTCAGCTGGCCCTCCAGATAAAAAGGATCAAATACAATTCATATGTTGGCTTTAGTGAAAAACGGCAGATTACTATGTGATTTATATTGCTATAAATAAGTGATAAAAATTATCAAATCAAAATTAGACTCTAGTAATAAATTGTATAACCATTAGAAAATGAATCAATCAATAAATATTGATAAATAAAGGATGAGATAGAGAAGGCAAGTGGTGACTATTAAACGTGAAGTAAGATTATTGGCACTTAACTATTTTCTCAGCCTACATTGACTGATTTTTTTTTCCTCCCTGTTGAAATCCACCAATTAGCAATATAGTGAATCTGATAACCTTCAAAACTGCAAAAGCTCTCTAGCAGAGACCTATGACCTGAACTTTGCTTTTCTATCTACATCTAGCTGAGATCAATAAACACTGAGTAACTGGGAATTGAGGTTAGTGAGGAAAAAGGAAGGGAAGTGATTTGATTCCCAAGAGAAGAATATAGGTTCTCAGCACAGTGAGATTCTCTGAACAGTATAAATGCATCCCCATCTTACAGCTGAAAGTCTGGAAAGTCATGATAGGAATGCGCCTACCCCACTTTAATTGCATGTGCCTGCAAGGATGGATACTTTTGGGTTTGAAAATAACATACTTCATTTCTCATAAAGATGGACATAGGTAAGCAGGGGGAAAATAGATTGAAAGGGGGAAAATAGATTGAAAGGTTTGGGGTGAGAAACATAAGAGAGAGTGGAAGCTGGGAAAGTTTGTAACCATAAGAGTGCCTGCATTTGAGCAGATACCAGAGGCAGAAAAGCAAGAGCTTCCCTCCAGTGAGTTCTGAGTGATTCTGGGAAGTAGAGCAGACTGGGATTCAGCTCATATATGAGAGATTACCTGATATAATTCTAAACAAGGACATATATTCTCAAACTTTAATTTATTTACTTGATATCATTGTCCAATGCTTAGCTAGAAAAGTGACAGAAAGATTCAAGGGACATAAATTAGTTAATTAAATCT
Organism: Homo sapiens; assembly: GCF_000001405.40. Classification (NCBI taxonomy): domain Eukaryota; kingdom Metazoa; phylum Chordata; class Mammalia; order Primates; family Hominidae; genus Homo; species Homo sapiens. Next base: position 85,464,489 of record NC_000007.14, on the reverse strand, counting down.
TCATTATTTTTTAAACCAGTAGAGGGACCCATTTCTCATCAAAATAATTTTTTATTTCTCCATCTTTGGAAGTCATTTTTGCTAACCATACTTGATTCCAGCCATTTTAAATTATCCCTAGTGGTGTTTGGGGCTCTACAAAAATGATGATGATAAGGGCTATGATCAAAAGGAGGAGTATCTAAGACAAAGTCTTGGGGCAGGAGCCACTGGGATAGAAAAATGAAACTAAAAAAGAAAACCGAAAAGTAGCTGGAAGCAGGGTATATGTGTGTAGGGTGGCTTAAGAAGGACAGGTGGCAAGACATTTTTTTAAAAAGATGAAATGAACTATAAGCCAATTTGAGAGTCATTATGATTATCAGGAAATCAAAGAAAAGGAGATCCAAGGATAGAAGATTCATGGGATGGCTCTGCCATGGGCCTGAGGTCTGTGGAGATAACATTTCCTCTCCTTCGAAAGGAGGTTAGAATAGAGATATCTACTTTACTAGGAGAAAAGCAGAGAAAGATGAGAAGGAATGAAATAGTTATCATAACAGGCATCTTAAGATGTAAATTATTTTATTCCTTCTAAGGTAGGACAGTATATTTCCACCTATAGGTCAAAATCCAATACTAAAATGCAAAATCAATTTAGTAGTGAGTGACCAACACTTAAAAACAAAAACAAAACAAGAAAAAACCCAACAAATAAAAAGATAATATAATAGAAGTAAATGGAAATGAAATAAAATAGAATTAAAAACTATCATCATGCACTGATGAAAATATGAAAATAAAAATTAATTTATGATAATATTTTATCAATATTATATGTATATCTATTAAAACATTTCTTATTGATAATAGGAGTAAAATATATTTTAAATATAGACTCAAGAAAGCCTCTAAGTTTTCTTCTAACTCTATGTTGTTTAGATCACTGAATTCCTGAGGACAGGGAGAGCTTATTTCAGGAGACTGGAAGAAGGGCAAAAATAGGGAAAGCAGAAGATTTCAAAAATATCCTACATACACAAGATAGAAAAATGGTGTTATAGTGACATAGAACTTTGTGTGTAGTTTTTTAAAAACTTTTCAAGCATTGTTTTTAGTTAATCCGATCAGGATATGCACTTATTTCAGAGTAACTTAAACTTTTTAGATTTATTTGTTAAGAGAAGCAGTTAGATTTTTGAATAAAGGGAAACAGAAAAAGATAAAGCAAAATTTGAAACTTTTATTTAATCCACAGCAGAGAGCAGCTACCTACTAAACTTATTAACCTAGAAAGAAGACATTCCAACTATTATATTCTTACCATCCATTAAATTGAATTTGTAAGGGAGTAATAGAAGGCTGCTGGTTAAACCAAAAATTTGTGAAAGCAGTAAAACTAAATAAGCTTTTGCTAAAATATTATATACAATTCATGAGCATTTATGTTTCACTGTACAAATGTTAATCCTAAACTCAGACACTGTCTCACCGAATGAGGTAAAACTGAAGCTTGTTAAAACCCAGACAGTGCAGCTGAACCAAGGAAATGGGGGAAAGTATAAACAAATCAAATGCTTAAACTTGAAATGAAGACGTGTCAACATAAACATAACTGTACTTCTCATTTTCCTCACATGTAATACTGGCAACACAACGGGAGCCAGTTTTGCGTCGTGTAAACTGAGCAGTGGTATTTCATTCTATTTCGGAACCTAGCAATTAGATGCTCTCTTAGAATTACTGAAGAGTGTGAACATTCATATTTTTACATTTCCATATGTATTTTTCCCATGCCAGAAAGTGCTAGTTATGTTTTCTTAAATATCTGTATCTACAATAACAGCAACAACAATAAAAAAAAGCTAGGGAATGTATCAATTATCTTTTGCTGTGCAACAGACCACCCCAAAACTTATTGGCTTAAAACAACAAGTATTTATTATTTTCACAATTCTTTAGATTGCTTAGACAGTTTTTTTTTTCTGTCTATACAGGCTCAGCCAAGGCTAAATGGTCTAGAATCATCTCAATCATATCTGACAGTTGGCAAGTTGATTAGTCTGTAAAGTCCTCATTTAAAAAGTTTTGTCATCCTCCAGGGATACTCAGGTGTCTGCACATGGAGCATCAAGATTCAATGAGCCATAAGAGAGCAAGATCTAGTGCATAAATGCTTTAAATCTCTATTAGCATCACACTTGTTAATATTCCATTGGTCAAAGCAAGTCATATGGATAAGCCACAAATCAAAGGGTGGAAGATAGATTCTACTTCTTGATGGAAGAATTGCAAGTTGGAGGAGATACAAAAAGTTACATTGCAAAAGTAAGTTTGCATAAGAGGGTAAAATTTATGGCCATTTTTGTTATTTATAAAATAAATTGCATAGATATAATTTTTGAAACAGAGGCAAAACAAAAATAGAGAACTGTAATGCTATTACAACAGCACTAAAAATATTCTTTTCTGACTTCTTTTGAATTGAAGCCAAATCTGAAGTAGGAAGTGGGACCTCACTACTAAATTAGTATCTTGATCTAACTAGATTTTTAATTTCTACTATTATACCACTAACATTTTGATATTTGACAATGGTATTTATGAAAGGATAACATTTTCTAGGTCATGACATCATTTAGAATATAACAAAAACATAGCGGTTTCATTTTCCCTTTTACTGTGACTTTTCTTTGGCAAGACACTGCCTTTTCTTACTGAAATAGGGATGGAGAGAGCATTAGTTCAAATCCCAAGCCTGCAGTTTCCTTCACCTATCAACTCTTCCCACGTTGGAGCTTTTTCCATTTATAACGCATCCTGACAATTCAGAGTTTGGTGATGAGTAAATTAGGTGTTTGATGGTGTTTGGGATTTGGGGAGTGGAGATAGGATGGTACAGAAGAGCTCTGTAGGCACCTCCAAAATTACATATATATGTGGGAAGTTACTTATTTTGCCTGAGGATAAGATGCACTTTGGACCATTTACAGTTTACAGTTCTTGATGTACAAAGCCATGCTCATTAGCGAACTTTATTGGTAATGATATGGCATGTGCAAATCTTGATATGTTAGAAACATTCTCATAAAAATAAACCTTTTTATTTATTAGGTTAGCTCTAATGAGCATAAAGGGAAGAAACCTGTGATAGAAAAGGAGGCCTCTGTCATACCCATATTCATTTTCAATGGAGTGTTTTGGGCTTTGCGTAAGTACAAATATAAGTGTGAGATTGGACCTCCTAATACAGTCAAATGCTCACAGTGTACAGTGTAGCAGCTAATAACAGCTCAAAATCTAGAGTCATCTCCTCTATCTGAATTCTAGTTTCGCCCCTTGTGAACTGGATCATTGTGGGCAACTAAGTGTTTAACTACTTAAAATCAACTTTCTAATCAGTAAAGTTGTAATAATAATAGTAAAATCAGCATGGTTTGGGAAAGATTAACATATGTAACATAATAGCATATTTTATTAGCTATTATTTGTATTATTATGGTTGTTAATTTTACTCTGGAAGACAATGGGAGAGTTATTCTTACCCCTCATTGACCATAAACAACAACTGAACATAAACATTATTACATGTATATCGTCCATACATGTAAACACTGAGATGAGACTCAATGCAAAATATATTTCCATATACTAAAATATCACAAATATCCCTAACATTTAAAATAATTCAGAAGACCAATTTCAGAAGACCCTTCCTAAATGGACATGTGCTTTGATTTCCAGTCCTAATGATCTGGTAGCTTTTCAGGTATTTGTTATTAAGATTGGTAAATAATACTATTCCTTCCAAGGTAAAATTAGATGAGCCAGAGTCTGGAGGGTTATCTTTCATAAGGTTTATTATAAAGTTATTTATTTTATATGTATTCTACATAGGGAAGTAGGAAAACAAGTATATATATATATATATATATATATATATATATATACACACACACATATATATATACGTATATATATGTATATATACGTATATATATGTATATATGTATATATACATATATATACGTATATGTATGTATATATGTATATATGTATATATACATACATATACGTATATGTATGTATATATGTATATATACGTATATATACGTATATGTATGTATATATGTATATATACATATATACGTATATATACGTATATATACGTATATATACGTATATATGTATATATACATATATATATGTATATATACGTATATATACGTATATATACACACAAACACACACACACACACATATATACACACCCTGGTAGTCTGGAAATAAATAAGTATGCTTAAAGTTGCCATACTTCCCATTTATTGTCTCACATAATTAACCAGGTGTTCACAGAAGCCAACTTTGAGGTTTCTAAATTCTTTCCATCCTCTCTGAACCCTTGGGATAACACTTACCTTAGCGAAAGATCAGATTCCTTCAGAGCGCATGAAGAGAACTGTTTATTATAAGCTATAAGTGCCAAATGATTTATTGGAAAAACAGCAAAGGTTATTGCACCCTACTCTACATGAATGCCTCAGAGTTTTGTTGTTGTTGTTGGAATTTAGCTGATTTCGTTAAAGAGAATGTAAAGTACTACTGAACATTGTAAATAAATATAAAAGTCACAATAAACAAGAGCTACCTTTTCTAAATTAGACACCTATTCTGTCTAACCAGGTAAATCAACAAATGAAAAATATTGCAGTACAGCACTTTTAGAAATACCAGAGAAAAAGCACATTAACCAAGACTTAATATCAGCCAAGTGTTAGAAGTTCAACTAGCACATTATATTGCCAATATATATGCTCAAAAAAATACATTTTGAAACATTATTCCTCCTATGCTAACAGAAGAATTTGAAAGCCATACATCGTCGATGAAAGATGAAAAACAGAAAATCTTTATATTTATAATGTTATTTTTCATAAATGTATAAGAGAAAAGTTTGATTACAGCATTTGTAACTATAGTCTTGCATTTATAATTCTTCAAATATTAACATCTTCAAAAATACTTGTTAATAATTTTGATAATGTCTCCCATAATGTCAGTGATGTAAAAAAGCATCAAGTCCTGAAAAAACCCTCAGTTAAAATAATTACTCTTTATTAAAGCTCAGGGACTTATATTTCATTCTGTCCTAGTCTGATTTCTTATAATCATGATTTGGCTTGAGTTTAAGGTACCACCATTAAGATGAAATTAGCACATTTTTACTTACAATTGTCTTGAAATTTATAGAACAATCATCTTACTTTAAAGTTTAGCTTTATTTCCAGTGGAATAGAAAAATCATATGCATTGTTCATAATATATTTGTTATGAAAGTAATTTATTTTAACACAAGAGTATTAAGTGTTGAAGTAGGGAATAAGCTTATTTTAATATTATTCTATTAAGATAAGCTCAATTTTTAAAAAATGTTTGTGTTTATGATAGAAAATTAATTTCAGAGATTTATCTTCTTAATCAGTTCCAATAACTTACTAATATCCTTCAAAAATATTACTAATATTTCAAACAGTAACTATAAATTGTTTTATAAACAGCCTTTCAAATTAGCTTCTTGTTAACTAACAATAATGATTTAGAAAACGGGCAAATATTTCTACCTTATACATAAGATAGATGACTTCAACTCTAAATCTTTTCACCTAAAATCTACTTGATTTGCCATTAAAAATAATAAAATAAACTGATTATTTTAGTAATTATTTTTACTCTTATCTATGTTAAAATATAAATAAAATGAAAATGCATAAATGCATATATATCACAACAATAATTTTCAAGATTTTCTGATATATTGTATTGTAATAGGATGATAAGTCTTCTGTATGAGTGCCTAAATGGTTGTGTTAAGATGATTGATATATTTGGTAGCATTAACGCTTAATTCTAATCTTGATTTCAGAAAGTGACAAAGAGATTTCAAAGCTGGTTTTAATTCATGATAAAGAGCAGCCCACATGCACTCTGACTAAGGGTATGGAAGGCTGCTTATGGTTAAAGAAGAGATAACGTTGATATTTACATTTTGCAATCCAACTGAGTTTATTAACATTTAAAATATTTTATTTTGGCATTTTTTTCATATTAAATGTTGAAGTTTTCTTATAATGTCAATTAGACAGCAACTAGACACCAACATATCAAATATTTTGGAGAAATATTATTAAGACAGAGGATGGAAAGGTTAATTTTATTACAAAATTGTGCAATCTCCTTTGAAGGCTTAAAAAATTGGCCCCAAGTCTTCACCCCTATTCGTGTTTACATCTTAGCAACAGCACTTTGACGTTTTTCCCATCATGAAGTGGAGTCTGTTTCCCCACTTTCCCCACCACTTAGTTCTGGATTGGTTTCATGATGTATTTGATTAGTAGACTTTGGCAGAGGTGATACGGTAGCAGGGATAAGCCTAAGCCTCAAGAAATGTGAATGCCTCTGCTCTCTCTCTCTCTTGGATTCCTACCATTCTGTGAGCCCAAGCCCAAGCTACCTTGAAGATAATAGACTATGAGAAGTGCTGAGTGCCTCAGCCAATAGCCGTCTTTCCTCAGAAACAGACCACAGATGCCTGAGGGTGCCCAGTCAGATCAGAAAATCAGGCCAGCTAAGTCCGGCATAAGTAACCCACCTATAGATTTGAATAATGTTTATTATTGTGTGTTACTGAGCATTATGGTTGTCTTATAGCATTATTTTGTTACTAGATAACACATACATTCCAAATCTATGTCATGTTTTGTTACTTTCTTCCAATTTTCTTCATGTTGATCTCTCATTATCTGAGAGGACTGAATTGTGTGGATAAAGCAATGCTGGCTAGAAAAAGAGAGAATTAGGACTAGCCCCCAAGTTTTCTATATGTGCAAACAAAGAAAATATATTCCAATTTCCAGGGTCTCCTTTTCTTCGTCTGTATGATGTATATGTATTATGTGTTGTGAATGATGGAAGTGAAATGAAACGTTTCATGTCTCAGTGTTCCACTGCTCTAATATTCGATGATTCCATGATCTTAAGCTAAACAGGTTCTAAACTTCTTACACAACTGTGCTATTCATGTTCTCACAAATTAATCTGACAAACCAAAGCAAACTGTTTTTAAAGATAAACAAAAATACACTCTATAATAGTTTCCACACAATAATTTAAATAGTAAGAAAATTACTTATTAAACTTCTTTCTTTAGGCCAAGGAATGCTAAGTGGTTTATATATGTCATCCTAAGGAATCTTTTCAACAAAAATGTAAGATAGTTACTACCATTCTCTATTTTACTGTAACAGAGAAACTGAAGCTCAGAAGAGTTAATCAACTTCTCTAAGTTTACTCAATAAATGGCAAAGCTATATTTCAAACACATGTCTGACTCTGACCCAATGTCCACCTATCCACCTATAGTCAAACAAGTGTTTTTGAGGCTTGTCTTAAGTGCATAGCTGACGACTTGTCAGATATTAAGAAATATTATTTTTCAATGACTCCAGAAGTTACACGGTTTACCTATGTGTGAGCAAAGCTCCTACCAGACCATAATTAAACATTTCCTGATTCAGTGATGCATTATTTCTTTGGTAATTAAAGAATACTTCTAAATCAGGATATGCAGGGGGAAGTGATACAACAAAAATAGTGATACTTAATGGTTCTCTCTGTGTTAAATCAGTTTCCTGAGTAAAAGTTGTAAAAAGCAGAGTTTGTGCCCCCCAAAAGATAAGAAACTTAATCAAGTGACAGTCACTTTCTTTTCTTTTTAGTACAATATCATACAAGATATAAGTGATTTTGTGATGATAGTATAGGTATTTATTAAACACCTATTCTGTGATGAGGATAGGAAAGTATAATACATAGTCTATCCTCAAGGATGTCATCATTTTTTCAAGATTAGATACACTTTGGATATACCACATTGGTCCCATGAACAAACTTGGCAAAGAGAAGTCAGCCTATCTCGATAACATGGGTGGGGGAACTGAAAATGGCCATGTGGTCTTGAATTGGGAATTGTGGATAGGATTTAGAATCTATAGGCTATGTCAGGAGAGGACACTAGAGACCACATTTTCAAATCTCTTTCTTTGCAGGTAAGGAGATTGGTACCCAGGAAATATAAAGATAGGGCAAAAGTAACAGCCTACAAAAGGTTGATTCTATCCATACAAAAGCAGGAAAAAAAAACACTAATAGAATAATCAACTTCAAGACATACTAGTACATATTTTTATGTAATTATGAAAATTTACTTTTATCTGGTGAAATAGGAAATTTGGATTATACTTGTCAATATATAAAATTAAAATCTTTTATAACTCTCTCAATGTCATTTATGGCTCTTAAGAATGAGTTGTCACTTGAAAAACTATATAATTATTGCTTATCAGAAAAGGAAAAGTGTTTCAAAGAGACAAATTTTTTTCAGAGATATTTTGGCTCTGAAAAGTTACAGGTAGACAGAAAGATAAGTTTTCCTCATTACAACTTAGAAAAACAGAGGTTTTCTACAGTTTACATCTCATTTGGCCATGAGATAACAATTAAAATTATAACAAATTTCACTATTTATATTTTCAAGTAACATATTATTAAGTTAGTTACATCTAAGTCAATTAAGAATTTTACAAAGTAGACCAACTTTCTGACAATTTATGTTCTTTCCTTTTCTCTGCTCCCTCTCATTTTCTTTTGTTAAATTAACTAGACAAAATATCAAACTAATATATTTTAACAATTGTAGTTATGTTTTTGCATTATTATTAATTACATTTATTTTATTAGTCTCAAAAATCAAATTTAAGTATTTTTTTGCTAATGTAGTCCTCAAGATTCTTAACTGGAAAAACTGTTTCCCTATGAATTATATTCTACATGTTTGCACTACAGCTAAATAAATTCCTAAATCTAGGGCCTGAGAATTTTCTAATTTAGTGGTACTAGTATTTAATAAAAATACTTAGTAGTAAAGCATTTTCATTTAGTTACTTACCAACCAAAGAATAATAGCCTTACCTTGTTCATGTGTTTAAACTAACCATTTAACTATGTGTTTGTGTGTGTGTGTGTGTGTGTATGTATATATACATAAAACCACATATAAAACTGTATATGTTTTAATATATATGGTGTGTATATATGTATAAACATTATGTTGTTCACCTTAGGTAAGAAAAGTAAATAGGGAGTACTCCACAGGAAAAACAGAAAAAGAAGAAAGAATTAGTAAGCAGTTCATCCAGTTAAAAATACAGTCTTTTTAAAAACAAATGTAATTGAAAAAAGTGCTCACTTTTAAAAAATGGAAAAAATGTTCAATTAGACACAAAGGACACAATATTTTTTGGCATGTATTACATTGAGGAGTTTATCTTCACATTCTTGGCAACAATGATGATGTAGGTTGTGGTTAATGATAAGAGAATTAGCCAAGCTTTTTGCTGGCCAAATACTGAACAACATAGCAACATCTAAGTTTCATGCATCAGCAAAACCAAAAATTAGGGACAATTGAGGATAACTTTGGTTTCTTTTTGATGTGTAGATTCTCTGTGCAGTCAGGGCAATGGAACACACAAGTTTTTGAATCATGTAGATTAATTCATCAGAACATTGTTTTGTGAGTTTTACTTCAAGAGGTTCACTGAATTTTTGTTTATTGGTATTGGAAAGGTTTAAGTATCTCTTTATAGAAACTGGAGGTCAAACTATTTTAGTTCATTTTTCTCCAAAAGCCAATACGAGACAAAGACAAACAAACATATAATTTGTTTGGGAGGTGATCTTAGGAGATATGAATGAGGGACAGATGAGATAAGTGAGATGGGAAAAGGAGAAAAGCCAATAAATGGTACATTAATGAGAGGGTTACTGCTACAGATAATTGATGCTCCACTCTATTGGATCGCCTCTAAGCTATTGTGTGGACCATACCTTCAAACTGTCCCACTGAACAATAGGAAGGCTGGGGGTTTATCCACCTAGTTTTTCATCTGTTAAGGATTTACCCTGGGTATATTAAGTTTAGTGCATTTTTGGTTGCAGAGCTGAAGAAAGACTAAGATGGGGAAACAAAGTGATGCAGGTATTTGCAGTGAAGTTTTGTTAGGACAAGGCTGAAAACTTCTACTTCAGCTACAGAGGGAGAGGGATATAAAGGTGGGATTCAAGAATCTTCTGCAACGTTTTTCTAATATTTGACTTCCAAAATATTTATGTTGGGATCAAAACACAGAATCCATGAAATTTTAGGAAATACTCAGAGTGAATAGAGTATCCACCTTTTATACTAGAAAAAAATATGGCAACATGATATTTTTCTGAATGCTTCTGAACAATTCATTCAGTTCCCATGAAGAGTCAGTCTTAATATTACAAGCTCAACTTTTATTTCCTTCATTTAAAAACTAAATAAGAAACTTTATTAACTCTTTAAAAGTAGCTTTAATTTAAACTCTGTGGGAATTATAGACTACCTGTATATTGAGATCCAAGATATTTCAGTAATGTTAAAGTTTATAAATATATGTTGAGTAGAAAGCTAAAGCTAAATGTATTTTATGAACTATTACTTAAAGGGATATATGTATAATATTTATAACTCATAAAACATTGACTTGAGTTGCTTATAGAATGTTAGACATATACATATATATGTTTTTTCTTACCAGATCTAGAATATCAGATAAAAGTCAAGTATTTAATTTGGCAGATCTTATTGATGTGACCTAACAATTTTATAAAACAATCTTAGAGACTGTAAAGCAATTAACCCATTCTTCTGACCTGAAAAATTTGGACTGTGGGAAATGGCAGGTCAGGAACTACCCACAATGGCAGAGCCATTTGGTCATGGTCTGTTAGTATACCCTACATAAAAAGCCTGAAGATAACACTGATCTTCATCTCCTTTTCATTTCCATCTCTTTTTTTAATTTAAAAGAATTGTGTGGTGCTTGTGTGTATTTATATGAAATTTTGCTCTTATTCTATTTTTATTCTTTGGTAGTATTACGTAGTATGTACCTTGATATTTCATAATGTTCAAAAATATCACAAAGTTAGAACAACAGCTTCTCTTTTGCTCAGCTATCCACTGGTTAACCAATGGAAGTGTAGTTTTGTAAATGAACTTTACAATTGGGGCCAATATTTTGGAAACAGAGAGTCTAGCCATTGTGTCTCTTGAGACTGCTTGTTTACATGCCTGCACAGTTTATTAGTAAACACAGCTGAATAACTAAAATTCTAAGCGGATTCCCAAACAAACAAATTGACTTTAGTTATCATGACACTACGTTCACCCTCCAGTGGATCCATTTTCTTTCTTATTCAGAAAACTGAGCATTAAACTGAGTGATGGTATATTTCATTGAGGTCTTTTTTAGACATAACAACTGTACCTGCCCAGGAAACTATTGCCTGCTAATTAAGCTTTGACCTCTGGAAACATGATAAAAATTTTGGCTTTTTTGTCAATGGTTCAAATTCTAAGGGAAGTATTCAATTAATATTGTCAAGCTACATGATATAGAAAAAACTTTTTTGTTGACTCAGAGTTAAATTATGTCAAAAAACACCAGCAGGAGATTGTTATAAACCAGTCTGGACTTTCTCAACTCAGGCTTTCTGGTAGCAGATTCATTTTTACAATGTATAAACTGAATGTAGTTGGCAAATCAGTTGCATCCATTACTGTTGGGTCTGGAAATATATCTACTTAAGCATATTTATTTCATATTTTCTCCTGATCTATTCCATATTCAAGTAATAATTTATTTGCACAAGTGGATAAAAACAGCAAATCTTGACAGGGAGTAATAGTGGGAGGTTGTTTAGGAAACAAAACACTTTAAAATAGCACAGCTGTTCTGATATTGTTATCATGTCAGCTATTTTTGATGGTTAGATGATGGTAAGAGTCAGAACAAATTTTCAACACAACTATTTTGCTAGCCATGTTTCAGCAATTGTGGTATGCATTTATCTTTTGATGCGATGCACCCCACATGTACACTCTAAAAAGATGCCAATAAGATGCATGTGCTCTTCAAAAGATAGAAGCTCATGAATGCAAATCTTGATACGTTTTGCGCAAGGGTAGGAAACTAGACAGATGCAAGTGTCCATACTCAAGGAAGTTTATTAGGCATTTTAGATAGAATAGCTTATATTTATTTTCTAAAGCATCTGAGACTAATGGAATTGATTCATACAAAGTATCAGAAATATTCTGATCCCAACTTCTTTGATTCCCTAGCCATTTGCCCTTCAAACAGCATTCTTACTCCACAGAGACACAGAGGTAAAGACTAAGAACACGGGCTCTTGAGCTGAACAAACTTGCATAATTATTCCTAGCTAGGCAACTCACTTCAACTTTCTATGTCTTTTTCTTCATTTATAAAATGTTTATTATAATAGTCTCTACATAAGGGAGTTTAATTAAGTCTTAATTTACATGAATAAATTAAGAATAGTGCCTGGCCTGTAGTAAGTGTTTGATATATTTGTTATCATTGACATAAAACATTTCCATTGCTTATCTTTTAAGCACTGCTGACTTCATATGTAATTATACTCTTCTCTTGCCTACTTAGTGTAATTTAAGGGGCTAATGTGAAAGGCCAGTTTGCCACCAAGTCATTTTTGCAGTTTTACCATATCAAACATTAAAAAAAAATTAAAAATTAGAGGCCTGATTTTTGGGGAAGGCAATACAAATGCATAAATCCACTGTTAAAATCTGTGTGTGAATCAATTTCTAGTCTTTATCATACTTGAAAATAAATTAGTTGATTAAAATAGAGCTAATAGGAAATAACCTGGTCAAACTTTAATCTTTTCTTTAACTATCTATCTACATATATCCTACTAATTCTTTATTACAATTGTTTATATATTCTCTCTTTCTTAGCAAAACTCCTAGAGTGTAAAAGCTGTATCTAAGTCATCTTTGAACATTTATACCTTATACATATCTATTCAATAAATATTTGTTGAATTAAACATAAGGCATATATGTTAAAGGTAAAGTATAGCAGGGAAATATAGAATTATAGGACATAGGTATTATAGGAACGGAAACAGTGCTAAGATTGCTTGAAAGGAGAGAAATCAGAGGCAGAGAAAGAATATACGAGGACCATGAATTCTGGAAACCTAAGTGCTGACAGGAAGGAGCTAGGAGCTAAGAAACATGTATACACATATTTATTTTATACATGGGGGAATTGGCTTAAATATCTTGCATTTTTAAGGCATTAAGGTGATGTTGTTCATCAACATGTAAAACCTTGATGTACTGGGGGCTGGGCTGGCAGAGTGAAAACTTTACTATTTAACATGATTAAACTGCTCCAAAAGAAGTAACAAAAGAACAAGGGGCCTATAACTGTGTCTGTCAGCCATCTGTCAACAAACAAAAGTTTGTGTAATTGTTTTCTCAGAGTTTTTTTTTTCAGATAACAAGGCTGGATAATTTCACTGTTGCTGAACATTTTAGAAGATCGTAAAGAGCGTCAGAGAATATACAAATTTTTATGTTCAACATGAGCTATTCTCAAGTTCATAAAGTCAAAACCCCTCTGAATCCTAAACTATTTGTTTCCTACAGAGTGGTGACAAAATATCATCCCTCCCCAAAAATGGTAGAGAATTATGATTTCTACCTTCAGAAAATCTGTGGATTTATTTGTACTTAATAGAGAACAAGAAAACAAATAGTCGAGGGTACAGTGTAAGAGAGTGAGTCTGAAGAATCAGGGTCAGCATTACAAGCAAAATTACCTTTCTGCAGAGAATCACACAATCATTCAATAGCAGAGATCCTAGAGGTCTTCTCTGGCAGTGCTCTCATTTTTCTGATGATGAAATTAAAGTCTCCGAAATAAAATAAATCATCTAAGTTTTAAGAGTATAAGTCAGTCTCAGAACTCAAAACTGAGTTTATAGTCCAAGCTTACCCATTACAGTAGACTACAAAAATTATAAAGAAAACACTGGGAAAGGAAAAAGAAAAAAAAAAAAAGACCGTCTTCCAGACACCAAACAAAAGAGTCTCTACCAAGAGTGTCACTAAAGTAATTTGCCTAACTAAAGGGAAAAAATGAGATATGCCAGCCACAATAATCATGGCCCTTAGTAGGCAAGATCCTGACAGGAAATCAGTGGATGAGAAGTATCAATTTTAAGTTACTGCAAGGAAAATTTGTATATTTAAACCTGAATTAAGTGACTTGTCCTAGCTTTATATTTATTGTGCAGTAGTTTAGTTGCATATCTGAAGCATCACTGAGTTGTAGTGGAACATGCAAGCAAGGAAGATTACTATGGGGCATGGCAGAAAAAGAGGAAAAAAAACCAGTTTCAAGAGTTTGAGTTTACTGTTGGTAGTAGCAGCAAAAAGGCATCACAAAACATATTTCAGATTTTCCATCACGGCATGTCATTTATCTGGATTGAAGGAGGAAACGAAAAGAGAATTCTGTATTAGAAAGTTAAGAATCACCTTGAGTCTTCATTAACTCCTTCCTTCCTTCTTTCCTTCTTTCCTTTCCTCCTTCGTTCCTTCTTCATTTTCTTTCTTCCTTTCTTTTTCAACAAATATTTATTGAAAGCCTTCGGCAGAGACATTCAAGCTGTAAAACCAACACAAATCTCAGCATTCATGAAGCTGGCACTCTGGTTGAGAATGTACATTCTAGAGCAGTTCTTACATTTATTTCTTTTACAAATGTAGAGAACAATCTAGAAGGCTTCCCCAGGTTCTAGTCAACTCTGAATTCTCAGAGTTGTTTTTGTTTTGTTTTGTTTTGTTTTGTTTTCAGATGGCCTCTTGCTCTGTAGCCCAGGTTGTAATACAGTGACATGATTCTCTCAGGGTTCTTGTTAGGAACTCTACCAAAGGGAGAAAGTCTGTTCTGATAGTATTTCCCCCAAATCGTTTTTAAAGTGTAGCTGATACACCATTATTCTGGAGCTCATGTCGAAAGTACAAATTTCTGAGCCAAGCCCCAAATCTGTCAAATTAGACTCACTAAGAGAGGGTAGAAGAATAAATATTTTAAGTAAGTTCCTCATGTACATTTTCATTAGGTACAAGTTTGGGATACTGTTGCTTTACGGAGAGATAAAACCGTTGATTTCAGTGAATTAACCAAGCCATTCATTTTAAATACAATTAACTCATATAGGCTATTTAAAGATGGTCTTAAAATAATGTCTGGTGATCGAATTCATGTTTTATGTTCTACTCGTTGGTCCTGGTTAAATACAAGAAAAGTCTTAACTCAATGTTCACTGGCTACATATATTTAAAAAGACAATAGAAGTATAGATGATAACGCTAACTTCTTTCTGGCACCATAATGAAAATTACATATTTTTGAAAGTAGAACATGCAGCTTGATTCATTAAAGGGTGAAATATGTTTACATTTTTTCCTCTTTTAGTACCATGCAAAAAAATTAATATGATTTTCCATTAGTCAATGTCTTAATATTATAATGGAGTAAATGGTCCCCATTTGTATTTTATCTACTTCCATCTTTACTTGCTTTATTTTTATTTTGATTCTTTAAAATCCTAAAGAAAGACCATTACCAAAAATTTTACTATAATGTTGTTTTTACTATTCCTCTACTGATTTATAATAAACATACAATAAGAAGCAATAGCCTTGTGAGTATCTTTTCATAAAGTTGACCCGTACTCAGCTACAACTCCAAACCTATATAGCACAGTATTTAATTACAGATATTCTAGAGGAATTCATTTTTGTGTGTTTTTTGGGGTGGGGAAAAGATAGGAATATGTATTCTGAAAGTAAATGCGTATAACCAATATTAGAGATTAGAGAAATTTAAATCAAGACAACAATGTGCTACTGTTTAATTTTCGTAAGTTAAGAAGTTCAACAATAAAAAATGTTGGAAAAAAACATTGGTATTAATTGTATATTACTAGTGTGAGTGTAAATTGCTACAACTACTTTGAAGAACAATTTGGCATTATCTTGTAAATTTTAATATTTGTATATTCTGAAACAAGCAATATGTCTCCTAGATTGGTACCTAAGGGAACATATGTGCACCAGAAGACCATAAGAATATTTATATTACCATTTCATTAAGACAATAAAACCTTGAAAATACCCAAAAATCCATCGATAGAGTGGATGAATAAATTTTAGTGTATTTAGAATTAAATATTTTTTTAAATGAAAATTAATTTGTTAATGTAAGATTACACACAATATACTATTTAACTTCAAAAACATGCAAGACTTAAAATATTATATTATTTATATCATAAAACACTCTAAAAATAAGGGACAAGCTTAAACCCTGCCTCTACCGAAAATACAAAACTTAGCCAGGCATGGTTGCATGTGCCTGTAGTCCCAGCTACTCAGGAGGCTGAGGCAGGAGGATAGCTAGAGTTAGGGAGGCAGAGGTTGCAGTGAACCAAGATCATGAAACTGTACTCCAGCCCAGACAAAAGACTGAGACCCTGTCTCAAAAATAAATACATAAATAAAAATAAGGGACATGCAAACATAAAATGTGGGGTAGAGATTACTCTTGGCAGGACCAGGTGGCTGAGGCCTGTAATCGCACACTTTGGGAGGCCATGGTGGGAGGATTCCTTGAACCCAGGAGTTCAAGACTTGCCAGGGCAACATAATGAGACTTCATCTCCACATAAAAACATTAAAAATTAGCTTGGAATGGTGGTAAGTGCCTATAGTCCCAGCTACAGGCTGGGGCCAGAGGGGTGAGGCGGGAGGAACACTTGAACTCAGTAGATCAATGCTGCAGTGAGCTCTGATTGCACCACTGCACTACAGACTTAGCTACAGAGTGAGATCCCATCTCAAAAAAAAAAAAAAAAAAAAGAGGCAGAGATTCCTCTTGGAGTAGAATTGGTTGGCAGGGGGGTAGGGGTGGGGAATTCTAGAGGAATTTAAACAACTTTTATCCATTGCAGGCTATTGTGTATGTATTAACAGCATCATACATTACCTATATTTCAGGCGGAATATAGGAAAAGCATAATTATCAGAATATACACTTTTGTGAGAATATGCTGATATTAATTTACTAAATATAGCATTGCAAGATGATCCTTCTACTGAAATGATATTCAAAGATAAATTATTCATTTTTTTCTTTGTGATTCTCAAGAATGTCAGGTGTCATCATGAATACTAAAGGTTTGAAAAAATGCTGTCTATAATGTTTATGTTCTTGTCAAATATCACTTGGAGGAATGCCTTTGCACAAATCAGTGTGGTAAATTATACTCTGTGTCATGATTGAGGACAGGCCTGGACACAGTCTATTTAAATAAGCACAGATGAGACATTAGGGGTACAGCTGGCCTGGCATTGAACTTATAAAATGAGCACAATGGATATTTGGTAAATGAAGTAAGCTGTAATCTCTTCAGGAAGTCATGAGCAGCAGAGAGAATGCGATATCCTAAATAGTTCAGAAAAGGCAAATAAAAATTGGTGGGCATTGCAGAGGTGAAGAAGGTTACATACATAAAGGAATAGATTATATTTTCATCAGTTAGTTTAACATGACAGTGGGGGACCGGTGAAGAGAAAACAATGTATAATATAAGAGGGCAGATAAGTTATTGGCATTAGAACAATTATGGCATCCGTAACTACAACTCAATAATCTGTTTAGGGTTCAGGAAAATAAAACCAATCTCTAGGTTGATGACAGAAAACAGAAATTTATTTATCAGATACTTATTAATGAATACATATTGTGTTTTAGGCAGTAAGTAGCAAAGACAGGTAAGGTTTTGATCCTAACAGAACAGGGATAGTAGAAAGAATCCCAAGACATGGACTTAGACACAAGGAACCCAAAAAACATCTAGTGGCACTAAGGCAGAGGTTCTAACAGGTGTCAGTGCTGCTGTTCAGAGCGCTGAGGCCATACGTCCATCTCATGATGCTCCTGGAATAAAACTTCCATTCCTTTATTATTTTTAGAATTCTCAATTTCTTATGTGGAAAGTACTGTGCTTGCTTGTCTTGTACTTTCAATTTTGTGCTATTTCTTTTTCATATGTACATCTTCCATCCCTGGAAATATTGTGAAAAACAGAACAGTATATTTTGGTCTTACCAGAAGTTCTCAACTTCTCTGAGCCTCAGTTTTCTTCACTGTAAAATGAGTATAATTCCCACCTCACATTTTTTTTTTCTTGGAAGAATTAAATGATCCAATACAAGTGAAAGTATGTTACAAAGTTAAGCCTTATAGCAGTTATGGGAAATGGCTGTTAAAAGTTATTTTCTCAGATGACATATATGAAAGAAAATATTCAAATGCATTTTATAAATGTATTTCCTGACAAAAAATATATTTTTTCCTATATAAATGGTTAATGATAATAACATTTGCATGTCAGATTCAAATTTACTTTATATTGGTTGTTTAGATTCAAGAACCCTTGGAGTCTTACGATGAAGTCATTTCAGATTACATTAAAAAAATCCATAATTATAACATTTGCCACATTGCACTAGACAATTAATTTGTTACAGGAGGCACATGGTAATAATTTTAAACAATAACTATGTTGTAAATGAGTATGCAATGCAATACAATACAACCAAAAGTAAATTGAACTTCTATCCCTTCCAGAACTAAGGACTCCTTACATAGAGCAATCCTATAAGTTTCTTATATATATCATCCAGCAAAATTCTGTATATTTAAAACATAGTAACTGGATCTTGTTTAAGATCTCTTGGCATTATCACCTACTTTTAGCTGGGCATGTTGGCTCACACCTGTAATCCCAGCATTTTGGGAGGCTGAGGCAGGCAGATCACATGAGGTCAGGAGTTTGAGACCAGTCTGGCCAACATGGTGAAACCCATCTCTACAAAATACAAAATTAGCTGGAAGTGGTGGCAGGCACCTGTAATCCCAGCTACTCAAGAGGCTGAGGCAGGAGAATCACTTGAACCTGGGAAGCAGATGTTGCAGTGAGCCAAGATCACGCCACTGCACTCCAGCCTGGGCAACAGAGTAAGACTCTGTCTCAAAAAAAAAAAAAAAAAAAACAAAATCACGTGATTTTGAGCTAACTTGATTTAGAAACACTAAAGTGAAATAATAAGTTCTAAGTGCAAATTTAATCAATTGCTCTCAAACGTTATACCCTAAATATTAAAATAATGTAAGTAATACACAATAAATAGAATTTCTAAATGTTGAAATGATACAAGTCTATGATAACATAGTATATTAGATGTTTACTTCTTACTGAAAAACTATTATTCCCTGACATGAGTGTTCTCTCAGCATACATGGCTGAGACTCGTTGAGCATTTAATGAAACATGGTGTATGTGTGTTCAGGTCGTGAACACATGCATACATTTTATTAATACATGGGTGCCCATGTGAAGATGTAAATTCACATGAAGACCCATGACACATTATAATAAATTCAAATACGTTTTAATGTGGTTTACAGTTGGAGACGTTTATTTTAAGGTCTGGAGAAAAATGAGAAGTCCTTTGCCAATTAAATTTGAAGCATGAGTTAACATATTACTGGTCTCTAATGTATTAATATGCAGTAAATTATAAATTTGAATGTTTTCATATAATTTTAAGTTATACACACACACACATATGTAGTATTCATAAAATTCAAAGCGAAGTCTTAAAATCCTTGTATTGCTCCTGATAACCATAGTTTTCCAATAATTTGGTTTGAAAACACTATGCTTCACCATTATTTTTTTTTTTTTTTTTTTTTTTTTTTTTTGAAACAGAGTTTTGCTCTTGCCGCCCAGGCTGGAGTTCTATGGTGTGATCTCTGCTCACTGCAACCTCTGCTTCCCAGGATCAAGGGATTCTCCTGCCTCAGCCTCCCGAGTAGCTGGGATTACAGGCATGTGCCACCACGCCTGGGTAATTAATAGCATTACCCAAGTTTTTGTTAATTCTGTTGCTATTCATTTTTAATTTCTCAGGTTCAGAGTTAATGTTTTAGACCTACCTTGTATCTACTATGACTTTTTATCTCATAGGAATTTTTAAAATAAATGTAGTAATTATTCAGTTAATTAATGCCATATAAATGAATCTGATGCTCACATGACCTTACCTTTCTTTTTTATTTATAGCTATATGGTCCAGTTTAGCATACCTCTGTCATACCCAGTTGTAGCAAATATTCATTGTTATTTCCACAAAGATCTCCCTGTATTATAATGTTAAAAATAAAGCCTAATCAGACAAATACGATGACTAATAAATTAAATATATTGATGTATTCTTATCCCTATTCAATTATTCAGTTAAGGGATTGTAAAGTACTAACATAATAATCACAGGTAAATGCTCATGGTGCTTGCTTATTGTGGTAAAATTTTTATGTAGCGATATTTATTAATGATTCAGCTGCAATTCTATTTCAAAATAACCATTTTTAAAAAGGAGACAATACTGTTTAAGCAACAGATTGTGTCTCTTTTTGTAACTATAATAACATTTTTATACATATGAAGAGGTAGACCATTAGAGGGGTCTTTCACATAATTTTTACATGGGAAAATTCAAGTCTGGTGTCTTTGAGCATCTATGCGTATGATAGTTTAAAAGAAAACTTTTAAAGTATTGTCAAAGAACCCTGATTTCAAACAGTTGTACTTGATAATTAGTATAATCTGGATTTAAGTGGTTCAAGATTCGGTATGAAGGAAAATGAAAAAGCATGTCTATAAATACTTGAATTACTGTGGGAACCAATGAATGCTATCCACTAACACAGTATTACTTATTTGTCTAGTGGATCAATCAGGCAGAGATCTACTACAGAGATATGTGCAGGCCCTTCTTCCCTGTGTTTATATGTAACTCAACATCTTATATCAGCTGGTGCGTGGAGGCCTCAACAAAAGGGCCCTGAAACATCATTTTTTAAATGTAAGTTGATATTTCTTGTCTCTCCCTGAAGACTGCCCCAAGACTGGAATTAATCCCTTCCTTTTATGTAAGAGATGTCTTCAGAACTCAGTGTGAGGCGCAAAAAAATTAACAAACAACTCTTTGGAATTGCATTTTATAATTAAAAATGGTCTTTTTCTTCATTTTCAGAGAATTGAATTCCCATAATAATTAGCACTCTCAAGTATACTTCTTTTAAGAATAGTAACTTAGCAATCATGAATATAACACTAATAAATAGTTTGAGATACATGAAATAATAAGTTAGCGGTGTGTGTGTTTGTGTATATATGTGTATATACAACTTTCATTTTCTGAATTTTTATATTGGTCTATGTATATATTTTTAATATCCAAGTCACTTTTCATGTGTTGTTATTAATATTCTTATCTAACAGCATATGATTGAAGGAAGTTGTGGTGCATGTTAACTAACTTGCTAAACAGCAACAACAAAAAGAAATAATCAAAAGAAACTAGAATAACTCAAATGGCGATATAAATTATATACATCAATTTACACAAATTATGTCTAAAAATAATCAAAATCACTTAAGTGTCTAACAATGCGGAGCCTCCAGTGGGAATTAGCTCAGTCTAGACATATCTGTGATCTTAGCTTGAGCAATCTTAAGACTGTTACCTTCCTTTTCCTAACATTAAACATATTATTTTCTTTCTTATATAAACTTTTGTCCCTAGATACTTAGATGTATTTTTAGCTTTTTAAATACTCATTTATTGAATTGGTTAGGATGTTTTAATAATGAAAGGGGAGAAAGATAGAAAGCAGAGAAAGAGACAGAGAACAAAACCAAGCAGAATTTTCCAATAATTTCCAAATTGTGTATTGAAACCTATTACTTTTAGGTGTTTTTTGAATCTTTTAATTCTTTAACTAAAAATCAAGTGTTTTAAAGTTTTTTGAAGGAAAAAATAGAGAAAAGGGAGAGAGAGAGACTCAGACAGAGAAAACCATGACAAAGAATCAGAGATAATAAATTTTAAAACATCATTCAAGCCAGGGATTATGTCATCTCCATAACATCTTTCTAAATTGGTAAAGCCCCAATAATTTTAATCCAGTTTTGGTAAGATTTATTTTACTTGTGATTAAATAGTCTGGATTATTATTCACAGTCAATGGGGGATTTTAATTAGGTATTACATAATCAAATGTACATTTAGAATGATAATTCTGCAGCAGAGAGGAAGATGAATTGAAGACAGGAGGCTAGAAAGGAGATTTTTGCAATAATCACTGCAAGCAATGTTACTGTCTACACTAAGGCACTGATTCCTAGGGGGTAAAATGACAGAATTTAATATGCAATTATTTGCAGAATCAGAGGAGAGGGAAAACAAAGAGTCTAAAGTAATCCTTTGAATCTTGTCTTGAGAATTTGGTTTATGATATCACTATTTGGAAAGATGAGGAATAAAGAAGGAATTTACAGCTTTGAACAGCGATTATGATAGTTTATTTCCAGGACATGTTGAGTTTGTGGTATATGTGACCTATGAAAATGCAAAAGATAGTTGAGATAAAGATTTGAATATCAGTGGATAGAAGTCTGTGCTAAAAAAAAAAATGACATAGAAATACATCAAAGGGTAATATATACTCTACAGTGAAAAGTCAAAGACATCAGAAGAGAATTCCAAAATTGAATGAAATGATCATTGTAATGACTGACAACATGAGAATATATGCTACAATGTTAATTGAGAAAGGATTACATCTTATCTAGGATAATAGCAATGCAAAAAGTATTATATGTGTATAAAAGAATTCTGTAAGACACACAAAAAATGTGATTTTTTGAATATTGAACTTTTCTTATAATTTTGATTTCTGTTTCTGACATATTATTGTTTGTGTCTTTTAATTAGCAGTCACAAAAACATTCAACAAGAGACTCCCCAAGCTATCTTGACTACAAATTAGCACATGTAACCTATTAGCATCTATAAAGTTAATTCTAATAAAATCAGACACATCACCTCTTAATTATTCTTTCCAGATTATAGGGTCTTAATTATATAAGTGTATCTTCATAAAGAAGCCTTTATAATCCTTCGATCATTCTAATTGGGCCTTTAAATACTTTTTTATCCTCCATTATAGTTTTGTTGAAGTATAACAAGCAGTCATCATGCAATTCATGTTTCTTGGAAGGCAGAGCCCACGCCCTGGAAGTCTGTTTTACCTAGGTAATAGCAGAGTATCTGCCACTAAGCAGTGTTCAACACCTGTTAAATAAATAAATAAATAAGGAATTCGTTTCTAATAGAATTCCTGATTATGCTAGCCCATGATGGACTATTAGATCCCATTGTCTTATATTGGTCTGATGTCAGGAAACTGTCCAGAATTACACTATTAGTTTTACTCGATAGCAAGGATTGATAAACTATGGCCCATAGGCTATATCTGGACAACTGCCTGATTTTATAAATTAAGTTTTACTGAAAAGCTGCCACAGTCATTATTCAATACATTCTCAATGGCTACTTTCATACCATAATGGCACAGTTGAGTAGTTGCCACAGAGAATATGGGACCCACAAAGCCTGAAATATTTACTATCTGACCTTTTTCTGAAAGTGTTTACCAACCCTGAATCTGTATTATAAATATCTAGAGTTTATAATTTATATGTTCAGAATAATTTTTTTCTCTATAAATTTAGGACATTAGCCCATACAGTATAAACATATTTCTTCTAGCTTTCTGCTTACAACTTTGTGAAATACTTTATAGTTTAACCCCATTTCTAACCCAAAAGATTGGTATTATCCTCAAAACTAAAAGATAAAAAGAATCACTGAATAGGTCTTTCACAGATCATTTTCAGATATTCTGGAGAAATATCATTTGGGCAACAATTCCCAGGGAACTGTGCTATGATCATTTCTGTAATTATCTGTTTCTATTGATAACAAATAATTATATACCTTGTTTAACTTATACAAATTTGTTTAGTATACAAAATATTATTTATTTCTCACAAAATTTTTGTGACTTAAAAATTATTATTATCTTGCCTTAAAAATGGGGGAGGAGATTTACAGGATAACTGTAATCATTAATATTCTTACTAAAATGAAAGACCACTACCCCAAGATTTTCCTTCCTTCTAAGAATAGAGTCCTAGAGTAGGTGATCTTTTCATTTTTGCAACACAGAGGGAATAAGAAAGGCTTTAAAAATAGTTTTCCCTTTCCTTCCTTCCTACCAATTTCTATACATTGTAAGGAAAGGCTATATATGTCAATTTTTATCAACATAAGCTGTGCTATCCCTTTTAAAGGCAGTAACAACTCCAGACAGTTTCATTTTATTTATTTTTTATTTATCTTTAAGTTCCAGGATACACTTGCAGAATATGCAGATTTGTTACATAGGTATACATGGGCCATGGTCATTTATTGCACACCTATCAACCTGTCATGTAGGTTTGAAGCCCCACATGCATTAGGTATTTGTCCTAATGCTCTCCCTCCCCTTGCCCCACACCCCCAAACAGGCCCTGGTGTGTGTTGTTCCCCTCCCTGTGTCCATGTGTTCTCATTGTTCAACTTCCACTTATGGGTGTGAACACGTGGTGTTTGGTTTTCTGTTCCTGTGTTAGTTTGCTGAGAATGATGGTTTCCAGCTTCATCCATGTCCCTGCAAAGGATAAGATCTCAATCTCTTTTATGGCTGCATAGTATTCCATGGCATATATGTACGTTTTCTTTATCCAGTCTATTATTGATGAACATTGGGTTGGTTCCATGTCTTTGCTCTTGTAAATAGTGCTGCAATAAACATATGGGTACATGTGTCTTTATTGTAGAATGATTTATAATCCTTTGGGTATATACTTGGTCATAGGAATGCTGGGTCAAATGGTACTTCTGGTTCTAGATCCTTGAGGAATCGCCACACTGTCTTCCACAATAGTTGAACTAATTTACATTCCCACCAATGGTGTAAAAGCATTCCTATTTTTCCATAGCTTCACCAACATCTATTGTTTTCTGGCTTTTAAATAATCTCCATTCTGACTGATGTTATCTCATTGTGGTTTTGATTTGCATTTCTCTAATGATCGTCGATAAGCTTTTTTTTAAATGTGTTTGTTGGCCACATAAATGTCTTCTTTTGAGAAGTGGCTGTATATATCATTTGCCCACTTTTTGAAGGGGTTGTTTGTTTTTTTTTTTTCTTGTAAATTTGTTTAAGTTCCTTGTAGATTCTGGATATTAGACCTTTGTCAGACGGGTAGATTGCAAAAATTTTCTCCCATTCTGTAGGTTGCCTGTTCACTCTGATGCTAGTTTCTTTAGCTATGCAGAAGCTCTTTAGTTTAGTTAGATCCCATTTGTCAGTTTTGGCTTTTGTTGCAATTGCTTTTGGTGTTTTCCTCATGAAGTCTTTGCCCATGCTTATGTGAATGAATTCCCATTTACAATTGCCACGAAGAGAACAAAATATCTAGGAATATAGCTTACAAGGAAAGTGAAGGACCTCTTCAAGGATAACTACAAACCACTGCTGAAGGAAGTAAGAGAGGACACAAACAAATGGAAAATATTCCATGGTCATGGATAGGAAGAATAAATATCGTGAAAATGGCCATATTACCCTATGTAATTTATCAATTCAATGCTATTCCCATCAGATTACCATCAACTGTCTTCACAGAATTAGAAAAACCTACTTTAAATTTCATATGGAATCAAAAAAGAGCCCGTATGACCAAGACAATCCTAAGCAAAAAGACCAAGGCTGGAAACATCATGCTACCTGACTTCAAACTATATACCACAAGGCTACAGTAACCAAAACGGCATGGTACTGGTACCAAAACAGACATATAGACCAACGGAACAGAACAGAGACCTCAGAAATAACATCTACAACCATATGGTCTTTGAAAAACCTGACAAAAACAAGAAATGGGGGAAGGATTCCCTATTTAATAAATGTTGCTGGGAAAATTGGCTAGCCGTATGCAGAAAACTGAAATGGAAACCCTTCATTATACCTTACACAAAAATTAACTCGAGATGGGTTAAAGACTTAAACGTAAAACACAGAACCATAAAAACCCAGACAGTTTCATTTTATAAAATATTTTCAACCCTCCCCTTTATCCCAGAGGGGTTTTCTTCTTTTTTGAGAAAATAAAAAACATGATAATTTATGTATCAATTTATAAATTACCTTTGTTTAATTTCAGCAAAAATATAGTATACATCCAAATCACTTATAATAAATATAGTTATTAATAAGTTAGCTTTCTATTTTTTGTCCATTCTATTGGAGATAACAGGAACAATCTTGGTTTGTCCACTAGTAATTCTCAGTAACTTTTACACATCTGCAAAAAACCCCATTCTCACTGTCTCTGGGCTCCACACTAGGTCTTATTTGTGCACATCCTTAATCTCATGATTAAAACAACAATGAGAAATTTGAATTCAAAGACATTCTGTCATGCTTTGCTCTGAGACTCCTTTACATGTCTAATTTGCCTTCTGCTGCTGAAAATGAAGTTTGCCAAGAAGGAAAATTTTGGAGACTATAAACAAGGGCAAATATATACAGTGGGGGCAATCAAACAACTGAAAAGCAGGTATGGTTCTAGTCTTTCTTTTGGAGTACATAAAGAAGTACTAAATATCTTTTGTTTTTCTTTTGTTGTGCAATACTTAATAGTTTTGCTCTTTATATTGCACTCATCCTTTATTAAAAAATTGATGTTCGCTGGAAATCATATGTTGCTGTTGAATCACATGAAAAATAATCGATCTGTGTGTATGTGTGCCTTCTATTTAAGAAACAAAAAATATTCCGTTGAAAAGGCTTTCTGATCCTTACCTTCTAACCTTTGAAACAAACCCAGAATTTTCCCCTAGAGTGCTAGGTGATATAAAAAAATTAAAGCATAATTATAGTCTCTGCTGATTTAGGAGTTGCAGTGTAATCTCAATTCTTTAGTAGATCGTTGGGCTCCTTGAAAATGTTTGACTGTAAGAAATTTGTTCAAAGTTACATTAAACTTCTTTGGACTAACTAAAGAGTCCTTGGTTTTATTTCTGAGAGTCAACTCTAGGGAAATTTAAAATGCTTTAAACATATGGTTGAGTTGGTTAGTTATAAAAGCCACTTTTGCATGGGGGTTTTACCCAGTGTCATTCCCTGTGCAATATGGTCCACAGGAGCCATACAATAAATGAATTCTCTGTCTGCTTGTTCTATTTCTTCTTAAATTTTAGTTTCTTTCTGGGAAGAGAAAAACCTGTTCCATATGTCTGGGTAATGCTGCTTTGGAGGCATTCACAGAGAGATAATAGGCACAGTTTCTTTGTATATACACGTAATTCTCAGTAACTTTTAAACATCTGCAAAACACCCCACTCTCACTGTCTCCAGGTCCCACATTAGGTCTTGTTTGTCCATATCTTTAATCTCATGATTAAAAAATAATGTGATTGAAATTTGAATTCAAAGACATTCTTCCCTGAATTGCTTTGTCCTGGTGATGGTGGTGTCTATGTCCTTGCAGTCTCTCTCGGGTACAAAGCACAATAATTAGACACAGGATAGTTCGTCAGCATAGTTACAGTGTGTTGACAAAAATAAGAAACAAATGGAATAGCTTCAGTCTTGTGGAGAATGTGAACATCAATGGAGAAAGAAAACTAACCAATTGATAACTGCATTTGCTAAAAATGATTTGGGACAATTCTTTGTTTTTATTTTTGTGGGTACCTAGCAGGTGTATATATTAATGGAGTACATCAGATATCTTGACACAGGCGTGCAATGCATAATAATCATATGATGGAAAATGGGGTGTCCATCCGCTCAAGGAATTACCCTTCGTATTTCAAACAATGCAGTCATATTCTTAGTTTTTATTAATGTAAAGTTAAATTATTTTTTACTATAGTCACTCTGTTGTGCTATCAAATACTAGATCTTACATGTTCTTTCTATTTTTTGTACCCATTAACCATCCTCACCTTCCCCCCCAACCCCCACACTACCATTCCCAGCCTGTAGTAATGATTCTTCTACTATCTCCATGAGTTAAACTGTTTTGATTTTTAGATCCCACAAATAAGTGAGAACATGTGATGTTTGTCTTTCTGTGCCTGGCTTATTTCCTTTAACATAATGACCTCCAGATCCATCTATGTTGCTGCAAATGAAAGGATATCATTCCTTTTTATGTCGGAATAGTACTGTATTGTGTATAAATACCACATTTTCTTTATTCAGTCATCCGTTGATGATACTTAGGTTGCTTCCAAATCTTCACTATTGTCAACAGTGCTGCAACAAACATGGGAGTGCAGATATCTCTTTGATATAGTGATTTCCTTTATTTTGGGTATACACCCAGCAGTGGGATTGCTGAATTGTATGGTAGCTCTATTTTTAATTTTTGAAGAACCTCCAAACTGTTCTTCACAGTGGTTGTATTAATTTACATTCCCACCAACAGTGTACAAGGGTTCCTTTTTCTCCACATAATTTCCAGCATTCGGTATTGCCTCTTTTGTCTATAATCCATTTTAACTAGAGTGACATGATATTTTATTGTAGCTTGATTCACATTACTCTGAGCACCTTTTCTTACATCTGCTTCCATTTATTTGTATGTCTTCTTTCAGAAATGTCCATTCAAATACTTTGCCCATTTTTTAATTGAATTATTAAATTATTTTCCTATAAAGTTGTTTGAGCTCCTTATATATCTTGGTTATTAATCCTTTGTCAGGTGGTATATTTGTCCATTTTCCCTCTGCTGATAAAGACATACCCAAGACTGGGCAGTTTACAAAAGAAAGAGGCTTAATAGATTTACAGTTCCACATGGCTGGGGAGGCCTCACAATTATGACAGAAGGCAAGGAGGAGCAAGCCACATATTACATGGCAGGCAATGAGAGAGCTTGTGCAGGGAAACTCACATTTTTAAAACCATCAGATCTCATGCAACTTATTCACTATCATAAGAACAGTACAGGAAAGACCCACCCCCATGATTCAATTAACTCCCACTGGGTCTCTACCACAACTATGGGAGCAACAAGATGAGATTTGTGTGGGGACATAGAGCCAAGCCATATCATTCCACCTCTGGCTTCTCCCAAATCTCATGTCTTCACATTTCAAAACCAATCATGCCTTCCTGACAGTCCCCCAAAGTCTCAACTCATTTCAGCATTAACTCAAAAGTCCACAGTCCAACATCTAATCTGAGACAAGGCAAGTCCGTTCCTCCTATAAGCCATAAAATCAAAAGCAAGGTAGTTACTTCCTAGATACAATGAGGGTGCAGGCATTGGGTAAATACAGGCATTCAAAATGGGAGAAATTGGCCAAAACAAAGAGGCTGCAGGCCCAATGCAAGTCCAAAATCCAGTGGGGCAGTCAAATATTAAAGCTCCAAAATGATCTCCTCGCTTACATCCAGGTCACACTGATGCAAGAGGTAGGTTCTCATGGCCTTCAGCAGCTCCACTCCTGTTGCTTTGCAGGAGTGGAGCCTCCCTCCCAGCTGCTTCATGGGCTGGCATTGAGTGTCTGTGGCTTTTCCAGATGCATGGTGCAAGCTGTCAGTGGATCTACTATTCTGGTGCCTGGAGGACAGTGGCCTCTTCTCACAGCTCCACTACATGGTGCCCTAGTAGTGACTCTGTGTGGGGTCTCCGACCCCACATTTCCCTTCTGCACTGCCCTAGCAGAGGTTTTCCATGAGGGCCCTGCCCCTGCAACAAATTTATACCTGGGCATCCAGGCATTTCCATATATCTTCTGAAATCCAGGTGGAGGTTCTCAAACCTCAATTCTTGACTCCTATTCACTGGCAGGCTAGACGCCACATGGAAGCTGACAAGGCTTGGAGCTTCCACCCTCTGAAGCAACAGCCCAAGCTGTTATAATTATTTATAACCTTGGCCCCTTTCAGTCATGGCTAGGGTGTCTTGGACACAGGGCACCAAGTCCCTAGACTGCACACAGCAGAGAGACCCTGGGCCTGGGCCATGAAACCATTATTCCTCCTAAACCTCTGGGCCTGCGATGGTAAGGGCTGCTGCAAAGGTCTCTGACATGCCTTGGGACATTTTCTTCATTGTCTTGGTGATTAACATTAGGATCCTCATTACTTATGCAAATTTCTGCAGCCAGCTTGAATTTCTCCTCAGAAAATGGAATTTACTTTACTTTTTTTTTTCTTTTAATGGAGTCTTACTCTATCACCCGGGGTGGAGGGCAGTGGCGTGATCTTGGTTCACTGCAACCTCCACTTCCCAGCTACAAGCAATTCTCCTGCCCCAGCCTCCTGAGTGGCTGGGACTAAAGGCACCCATCATCACGCCTGGCTAATTTATGTATTTTTAGTAGAGACAGAGTTTTACCATATTGGCCAGGCTGGTCTCAAACTCCTGACCTTGTGAACTGCCCATCTCGGCCTCCCAAAGTGATGGGATTACAGGTGTGAGCCATGGTGCCCGACTGGGATTTTCTTTTCTATTGCATTGTCAGGCTGCAAAATTTCTGAACTTTTATGATCTGTTTCCATTTTAAAACTGAATACCTTTAAACAGCACCCAAGTCACCTCTTGAATGCTCTGGTGCTTAGAAATTTCTTCCACCAGATATCCTAAACCATCTCCCTCAAGTTCAAAGTTCTACAAAACCATCTCCCTCAAGTTCAAAGTTCTACAAATCTGTAGGTCAGGGGCAAAATGTCTCCAGTCTCTTTGCTAAAACATAATGAGTCACTTTTGCACCAGTTACCAACAAGTTTCTCATCTCCAATTGAGACCACCTCAGCCTGGACCCTACTGTCCATATCATTATCAGCATTTTGGTCAATGCCATTCAACAAGTTTCTAGGGAGTTCCAAACTTTCCCACATTTTCCTCTCTTCTTCTGAGCCCTTCAAACTGTTCCTACCCCTGCCTGTTACCCAGTTCCAAAATGGCTTCCACATTTTTGGGTATCTTTTCAGCAACACCCTATTCTACTGGTACCAATTTACTGTATTAGTCTGTTTTCACACTGCTGATAAAGACATACCCAAGACTGGGCAATTTACAAAAGAAAGAAGCTTAGTGGACTTACAGTTTCACATGGGTGGGGAGGCCTCACAATCATGGCAGAAGGAAAGGAGGAGCCAGTCACATCCTACGTGGATGGCAGAAAGCAAAGAGAGAGCTTGTGCAGGAAAACTCCCATTTTTACAACCATCAGATCTCATGAGGCTTTTTCACTATCACAAGGACACTATGGGAAAGATCCACTCCCATGATTCAATTATCTCTCACCAGGTCTTTCCCACAACACAAGGGAATTATGGGAGGTACAAATTGAGATCTGGATGGGGACATAGAGCCAAGCCATATGAGATGGGTAGTCTGAAAGTATTTTCTTCCGTTCTGTCATTTGCCTCTTTTGCCTCTTCATTTTTTTGATTGTTTCCTTCAATGTGCAGAAGCCTTTAAATTTGATGTGATCCCATTTGCACATTTTTGCTTTGGTTGCCTATGGTTGTGGGGTATTATTCAAGATATTTTTGCCAAGACCAACATCCTGGAGTTTCCCCAATGTTTTCTTGTAGCAGTTTTATAGTTTGATGTCTTAGCTTTAAGGCCTTTATTCACTTTTATTTGATTTTTGTTTACACTGAGAGTTAGGGGCCTAGTTTCATTCAATTTCATGTGGATATAAAGTTTTATCCACAACATTTATTATAATAAAGAGACTGTCCTTTCTACAATCTATATTCTTGGCACCTTTGTCAAAAATGAGCTCACTATAGGTGTGTGGATTTGTTTCTGGGTTCTATATTGTATTCCATTGGTCTATATGTCTGTCTTTATGCCAATAGCATGGTGTTTTGTTTACTATAGCTCTGTAGTATAATTTGAAGTCAGGTAATGTAATTTCTCTAGTTGTCCTCTTTTTGCTCAGGAGAGCTTTGGCTCTTCTGGGTCTTTTGTGGTTCCAAATAATTTTAGAATTTTTTTTTTCTGTTTTTGGGGAGAATGTCATTGATATGTTGATAGGGATTGCACTGAGTCTGTAGATTGCTTTGGATAGTGTGGACATTTTAACAATATTGATTCATTCAGTCCATGAACATAGAATATCTTTCCATTTTTTGGTGTTCTTTTCAATTTCTTTTATCAGTATTATATAATTTTTATTATAGAGATCTTTCACTTTGTTTTGGTTAATTCCTAAGTATTTAATTTTATTTTTGGCTATTGTAAATTAGATTACTTTATTACTTCTTTATTTATATTTCAGATTGTTCACCGTTGGTGTATAAATATGCTACTGATTTTTGTATGTTTATCTTGTATCCTACAGTGTTACTGAATTCATTTATCAGTTCTAATAGTTTTTTGGTTGAGTCTTTAGGTTTTCTAAATATAACATTATATAATCTGAAAACAAGGATAATTCAACTGTTCTTCTCAATTTGGATCCCATTTATATCTTTCTGTTCTCTGATTGCTCTAGCTAGGACTTTTAGGACTATGTTCAACAACAGTGGTGACAGTGGGCATCTTTTTGTTTCAGATATTAGAGAAAAGGCTTTCAGTTTTTCCCCATCGACTACTATACTAGCTGTGGATCTGTGGAATATGGCTATTATGTTGAAGTATGTTCTTTCTATACCCAGCTTTTTGAGAATTTACATTATGAAAGGATGTTGAATTTTAATGATTTTTGAGCATCAGTTGAAACAGTCATATGGTTTTTCTCCTTTTTTCTGTTGGTATAATGTATTACATTGACTAATATGAGTGTTTTGAACCTTTATCACATCTCTGGGATAAATCCCATTCGGTTGCTATGAATGATCTTTTCACTGTGTTGTTCAATTTGTTTTGCTAGTGTTTTATTGAAGATTTTGCATTGATATTCCTGAGAGATACTGGCCTTCAGTTTTGGTTTTGTGTGTGTGTGTCTTTTTCTGGTTTTGGTATCAAAGTAATATTGGCTTTATAAAATGAGTTTGGAAGTATTCCCTCCTCCTCTATTTTTTTTTTAATAGTTTGAGTAGGATTGGTATTAGTTCTTCTTTAAATGTTTTGTAGAATTTAGTAGTGAAGCCATTGGGTCCCAGGTTTTGTTTGCTGGGAGACTTTTTATTACAGCTTCCATCTCATTAAGTGTTATTAGTCTGTTCATGTTTTGGATTACTTCACGGTTCAATCTTGGTAGATTATATGTGTCTAGGAATTCATCCATTTGAAATTTATCAATTAAAGTTAGATTTTTCAAATTATTTGCCATAGTTGCTCATAGTAGCCACTAATGATCCTTTGAATTCCTGTGGTATCAGTTTTAATGTCTCATTTTTCAACTCTGATTTTATTTATTTCTGTCTTCTCTCTTTTTTCTTTCTTAGTCTACCGAAAGGTTTGTCAATTTTGTTTTCTTTCAAAAAAATCAGCTTTTTGTTTTGTTGACCTTTTGTATTATTTTCTTCATTTCAAATTCATTTACTTCTGCTCTAATCTTTGTCAGTTCTTTTCCTCTAATAATTCTGGGTTCAATTTGCTCTTCTTTTTCTAGTTCTTTAAGATGCATTCTTAGGTTATTTATTGGACGTTTTACTTCTTTTCTGATACAGGCCATTATAGCTATAAATCTCCCTCTTAGTACTGCTTTTGCTGTATCTCATAGGTTTGGATATGTTGTGTTTTCATTATCACTCGTTTCAAGAAATTTTTCAATTATTTTTTACTTTGTTATTGACCCACTAGTCATTCAGGCTCATATTGTTTAATTTCCATGTGTTAGTATAGTTCCCAAAATTCCTCTAGCTGTTTATATCTAGTTTTATTCCATTGTGGTCAGAAGATGCTTGATAAAATTTCAATATTTTTGTCAGGGCGTGGTGGCTCATGCCTGTAATCCTAGCACTTTGGGAGGCTGAGGCGGGCGGATTACGAGCTCAGGAGATCGAGACCATCATGGCTAATACAGTGAAACCCCGTCTCTACTAAAAATACAAAAAATTAGCTGGGCATGGTGGCGGGCGCCTGTAGTCCCAGCTACTCAGGAGGCTGAGGCAGGAGAACCTGGGAGGTGGAGCTTGCAGTGAGCGGAGACTCCTCTCAAAAAAAAAAAATTCTATATTTTTGAATGTTTTAATACTTGTTTTGTGAACTAACATGGTCTATTCTCGAGCATGATCTATGTGCTGAGGAGAAGAATGTGCATTCTGCAGCTATTGAATGAAATTTTCTGTAAATATCTATTAGGTTTATGTTTTCTATACTGCAGATTAAGTCTGATATTTCTTACTTGAGTTTCTGTCTGGGACATCTGTCTAAAACCAAAAGTGGAATGTTGAAGTCTCCAGCCGTTATTGTATTCAGGTCTCTCTCTTTTTCTCTCTCTCTCTTTCTCTCTCTCTCATAATATTTTCTTTATATGTGAGTGTTCTAGTGTTGACTACATATATAGTTATAGTGGTTATATCCTGTTGCTAAATGGACTTCTTTATCATTACATAATGTCCTTCTTTGTCTTTTATTGTAGTTTTTTTCCCAAACCTATTTTGTCTGATATAAGTATAGCTACTTCTGCTTTTTTTGTTGTTTGTTTCCATTGGCATGGATTATGTTTTTCCATCCCTTTATTTTCAGTCTCTGTGTTTCTTTATAGGGGAAGTGTGTTTCTTGTAGGCAACACATCAATGAGTCTTTTTAAAAATCCGTTCCCCTACTCTATGACTTTTGATTGGAGAGTTTAGTCCCATTTATGTTCAATGGTATCATTGATAAGTAAGGACTTACTCCTGCTATTTTGTTATTTTTTTTTTCTGGTTGTTTGGTAGTCTTCTCTTCCTTCTTTCCTTCCTTAAATGTGAAAATAAAGTATTAAAAAACTATTTCCTAAACAGAACTAACATTAGAATTATCTGAATCATCAGAATCGTCTATTTCAGAAAAAAATCAAATTCATCAAATGAATCTTCAGCCAACAACTATTCAAGAATGATGTTAACATCACACATAGGAATGCTACATTTTCTAAGATTTGACATTTTTAGTGATTGAGAATTACTATATTTTGTAAATGGAAAGACCACTACTGAAAACAGAGAATGATATAAATAGGGTTTTC
Organism: Homo sapiens; assembly: GCF_000001405.40. Lineage (NCBI taxonomy): Eukaryota > Metazoa > Chordata > Mammalia > Primates > Hominidae > Homo > Homo sapiens. The sequence goes on along the minus strand of NC_000007.14, from coordinate 85,429,346 downwards.
AAGGTTAATGTACTAAAGCCATGTGAAAATAATAATAAAAGTGAGATATTTCATGGCAGTTATCTCAGGATAACCACTGCAGCCACAAGTGCTGCCAGTGAGTATTCTTGGGGCAAACAGGAAAAGGGTTAAGATAAGAGAAGGTTATACACCACAATTACAGTGTTATCATAATCTGTGTTTTCCAATTGCTTACTATTTCCAGTGAGTTATTTACCTTCAGATGATATTTTTTTTCTTGTTCATTAACATCCCTTTCATTCAGATTGAAGAACTCCCTTTAGCATTTCTTGTAGGATAAGTCTCGTGTTATTTGTCTTGGAAAGTACTTATTTCTTCTTCATGCTTGAAGGATAACTAGACTTGGTATACTATTATAGGGTAAAAGTTTTTTTTTTGTTTTTTTTTTTGTTTTTTTTTTTTTTTTTACTTCAGCACTTTAAATATGTCATGCAACTGTCCTGGTCTGTAATATTTCCACTGAAAAGTCTGCTGCCAGACATATTGGAGCTCCATTTTATGTTATTAGTTTCTCTTGCTGATTTTGTGTTCCTTTCTTTATACTTGATCTTTGGGAGTTTGATTATTAAATGCCTTGAGATAGTCTTCTTTGGGTTAAAACTGCTTGGTGTTCTATAAACTTCTCGTACGTGGATATTCATATTTTTCTCTAGGATTGGGAAATTCGCTGATCTTATTCCTTTTAATGAACTTTCTACCCCTATCTCTTTTTCTACCACCTCTTTAAGGTCAATAGCTCCTAGATTTGCCCTGTTGAGGCTATTTTCTAGATCTCGTAGGCATGCCTCATTGTATTTTATTCTCTTTTTCTTTTATCTCCTCTGACTATTTTCATATAGCCTGTCTCCAAACTCACTAAATCTTTGTTCTTCTCAATGAATTATGCTATTAAAAGACATCTGCATTCTTCAGTATGTCAACTGGATTTTTCAACTCTAGAATTTCTGTTGATTCTTTTAAATTATTTTAATATCTTTGTTAAACTTACCTGATAGAATTCTGAATTTCTTCTCTGTGTTATCTTGAATTTATTCGAGTGTCCTCAAAACCGCTAATGTGAATTCTCTCTGAAAGGTTGCATGTCTCCGTTTCTCTAGGATTAGTCCCTGATGCCTTATTTAGTTTGTTTTGTGAAGTCATGTTTTCCTGGATAATCTTGATGTTTGTAGATGTCTGGGAATTGAAGAGTTAGGTATCTATTGTAGTCTTCACTGTCTGGGCTTGTTTGTCACCATTTTCCTTGAGAAGGCTTTCCAGGTATTCAAAGAGAATTAGGCCTCAATATTGCTGTGGTTTTTCATGCTGGTAGAGGTACTGCCTTTGTGGTCTTGGATAAATTCCAGGATTCTCTAGATTGCCAGACAGAGACACTTATTCTTCCATCCTAATTTCCCCAAACAGAGTCTCTCTCTCTCTCTCTCTGCTGAGCCACATGGAACTGGGGGTGTAGTGATTCAAGGACACATGTGGCCACCACCACTGACACTGCACTGGGTCAGACCTGAGCCAGGACAGCACTGGAACTTGCCCAAGACCTGTTGTAACTACTACTTGCTACCACCTGTGTTCACTGAAGGCCCTAGGGCTTTACAATCAGTAGGTGTCTAAGCCATCCGTGTTTGTGCCCTTCCTTCAGGGCAGTGAGTTCTCCCAGGCCCAGGTGGGTCCACATATGCTCTCGGGAAGCCAGGTATTAGAGTCAAAAACTTTAAAAATTTGTTTGATGTTATATTGTACCGTGGCTAAGCTGCCACTCAAACCACAATATAAAGTCTTTCCAGCTTTTCCTTCCCCTTTCCACAGACAGAGGAGCCTCTCCTGTGGGCACCACCACCATAGGCCCACAAGGAAGTTCTTCCAAGCCACCACCGAAGTTCACTTAAAGCTCAAGGGCTCTTCAATCAGCTTGTGGTGAATACTGTCAGGTCTGGGACTCACCCTTCAGGGTAGTGGGCTAACCACTGGCCCAGGTCAGGTCTAGAAGTGCTGTCCAAGAATCTGGCCCTAAACTCAAGGACCCCAAAACCTCCATGTTGCTCTACCCCACTGTAGCCAAGCTGGTAGCAAAAGTGCAAGACAAAGTCCCATTTAATTTTTCCTCTGCTTTTCTCAAACAGAAGGAGTCTTTCACTGTAGCCATCACAACCAGTAACATGCTGGATCACACCTGTAGCCAGCATGCCTTAGAGCACAAGGCCCATGGCATACTTCCTGGGTATCACTGGTGGTTACTCAGGGCCCAGGGGCTGTTTAGTCAACAGTGATGAATCCCTAGGGCCTGGAATAAGGGTCTCACGACTCTGCCAGATGCCCTGTCCTACCGTGACTGAGCTGGTATCCAAGATGCAAGACAAAATCCTTTCCAGTCTTTGCTTTCTTCCACTTAAGCAGAAGGAAGGAGACACTTTTGTTGTTGCGAGCTCCACAGCTTGGAGTTGGGTTAGAGTGATGCAAGCCCTTCTTTAGCTACCTCAGCTAGTGTCTCCCTAGGTCACATGCCACCCTAGTCCTCTGGCTTTCAGCCCAGCACAAGGAGTTGCCTAGGAATCAGTCCCTGAGTGCTAGAGTGCCTTTTCAGTTTGTTTAGTGACCCAGAGCCCTTTGACCTGTGGTTGTGAGACTTTCCAAGAAACTCAAGTTCTGACCAATGGAATGGATGACTCTCCTCTGGCTAGATATGGTCTAAATGCTCCCTCTGTGTGTGGTCACTGGCTGAGCTCAGTTCAGCTTTGTTCTCTGCTATGACATGGCAAAACTGAGTTCAAGGTAATAACCCCCATTCACTGTGCTATTTTTCCGCCAAATGTACATACTCTGTGGTGGCATCTGTGGTTCAAGACTGTCTCTCAGAACCTCCTCAATGCCTCTTTCAATGATACGAAGTTAAAACCAGTACTGTGATTGCTCACCTAATTTTTGGTTCTCATGATTGTACTTTTCTGTGTGCAGATAGTTGTTAAAATTTGGTGTTACAGCACAGGTTATGAACGGTGCTGGCTTCTATTCCACTATCTTGCTCCACTGTCTCTGGGCCAATTCTTGTTGTATGATGTTGCAGAAATGGAATGAAGACTTTTTTTTATGATTTTTCCACTAACTCTTGCTCTAATTTCCATTTTCCTAACTAGGAAGATTATAATTTTAAAATGATCAGCTTAAGCAATAGTGAAAATATAATTTAAAATAACCCTAAGTATCTCATTTAAATAGAAATTCAACAAATAGATTATAAACCTTATGAGTAAATAATAAACCTTGTGAGTACAGGGCCAAACACATTCTTATATGTACTCTATTATCAATTAATTCACATTGAGCTCACAGCCAACTGCACATAACTCATGCCTGAACAGTTTATGTGGCGCATGTATTTTCTCATTAGGACACAGCACAGTCTTCCTATATTTAGGAACACCAGAGAGTACTTCAGTACTACTCTTGTTGGCCATTTTAAACAACAAAATTGCCCCAAGAAGCATTAAAATGTGAAAACCTGGCATTAAGTACATCTTGAAAAAGATACTTGTTCTATAGTCTGAGACCTGAAGCAAGAAAGGCATGGTGTCACCTTATTTGATGTCATCTGGGAACATTTGCATCAGGTGACTCAAATTTGTCACAGTTCTGTGCATTTCACAAATAACTGTGAAAACATGAGTGTTGACATGAAGGTTACAAACAACTTTTAGTGAATAGGCAAATTTTGCAAATATACGATCCATAAGTAATGAGGATCATCTGTATGAGAAAGGTTTTTAACTTAATTTGTATACTTATACCTCTCCTTATAAGTTACAAAGTGATTTTAAGGGATTTTGGATACAACATATAAAACTAGAAAAAATATAACAGCAGAAGAGGCAAAAAAATTAAGGCTAAGGATAAAATCAGAACATATTGATACCAAAGGATTTCATGTAGTGATTAAAGCCAGTTTCCTAATTTTATTTTAATGTTCTGGGTGTGTAGAATTATATGATTTAAGGGTCAAACACAGAGCCTGGAAAACACTGATAGTGAAGAAGTGGGAACAATGATAACATACAAATGAAGTTAGTTGCACCAAAAATTAGCTGTTTACTTCTTTACTGTGTACCACATCTCTGTGTAATAGATGAAGTCTTATTACAAAATAATTTTTTTTCTCAAGCAAATGAGTATGTTATATTAAAATTTCAAAAGGCCACTCTGCATCTCAATCATGTATACAATTTTCTAGCTCAATGACTTTGTGAAGTTATTAAGGTGCCATAGGTACTGATCATTTCATCTTAAGCAAAAATGTAATTAACAAAATCATGTAGAAATTACATAGGTGAATTAAGTTTTTGTGCCCAGACCTAATGGTAAGATAATCTAGGTACAGAAAAGCATGGATGGTGAGTTAAGATCAGGGGTTGCTGGAGTAGACTTACGCCTGCTTTTGAGAGCCCATGGTATGTTCCATATCTACTTCCAACTCAGTATTTGAAGATGCCTTGCTGACAGTTAAAAAGTGGCTTTGCTGGGAGTATTTACACCATAGAAATCAACAAAAAATCGTGGATGCTTTTCTCCTGAAAAATAGGTTTTTGAACATTAACCAGCACAACCCTGACTGAAATTCATAGGATATCATATATGTGTCATACAAAATATATCCCATTATTTAAGATAATAAATTATTGTCCTAGGATCCTTAGGGTGTCACTTTTCCAGCCTGAAGTCTCTACGGCCAGTGGCACCTTTGCCTAAGTTTTGCTCAGGCCTGCTGGGCTCCTTCCACCATCCACTCGGCCTGGCAGGCTGTGCCTGGCTCATGCTGCCAGCCCGGATCTACAAGGGTGAGCCAGGTGTGGAGTGGCAAGGGGTGCATGAGCTAGGTCTGGGCTTTCCGAAGGGCTGCAGCTCTGCTCTCTTTGTCATTTGCAATATGGCGAGTCAGCGGTAGGGGAGGGGGGTGTCTGTTTCAGCCCTGTTTGTGTTACAACTCTTTCATTCCCACCATTCAGCAGATTCCAAGTTCTTGTCCCGCATCTAGGAAGACTGAGGTACACAGAAAACTGGAGGGTGAGCAAAGGCAAGAGGTGCTTTATAAAGCAACAGCACAGCTCTCAGGAGGCCTGAAGTGGGTAGCTCCTTTCCACTGGCAGGTCATCCGAAGGAATATGCAGTTCTTAGCAAAGAGGAGATCCTGAGTGAGTGTGTAGCTCCTATCTGCAGGCAGGTCGTTCGGACGTCTTTGTGAGTCTGGCTGAGTCGGGGGTGGGGGTGGCTTTATAGGTTTCAGATAGGAGGCCGTGCATGCTAATTGGTCTATGGGTGGCCATGGGAAGGCCTGGAAAAAGCACCAGAAGTTTTCACTTCAAGCCACAGACTCCACCTGGAACTTACAGCCTGGTCCCCATGCCATAGGCCATTTCTCGCCTGAAGGTGAGGCTTCACCAGGGATCCACCCCTTTCTGCCCAGGAGCCTGTCTGCCTCCTGCTGCCATCTACATGTCATCCAGGGCACCCAGACTGTTCATGTCTACGGGTGCCTGCAGGCCCACCCTGAGCTGCCTTCGGCATCTCCAGCAGCCTCCCTCCCATGCTAGTCAGCACCCAAAGTCTGGAGGGGGCTGAGGCAGCAGGGGGCTGGCATATCAGTGCTGCCCTGAGTGTGCGCGCAACCGGCCAGGTCGCCAAAGCGCCTGAGCTCATCCTCAACTTTGATCTGAAATCAGAGCAGGTGCTGGGAGCAGAGGAACCCAGGTAATGGAAGCAGGGAACCTGCGGGATACGGGTGGCTTCCCAGGACCCCAAGGGTGCAGAGGTGCCCAGGTTTGTAGCCTTGGCTATGCAACTGCAGCTGCACCAGGGAGTGAGGGGCTCCCATTCCACCAACTAGGTAGGAGGCGGGGCTCCTGCCAGCTCCCAGCCCCCAGTAGCCCAGGTATGCCAGGGTCTGGAACCACAGCTGGGCAGCTATAGCTGTGCGGGGAAACACGGGGCTCCGGCCCAGAGGACCTGGAAGTGGGAGAGGCCCCCACTGGCTCCGCGGAGCACGCAGCCCCTCTGTACCGCCCCCATATTAGCCGACATCTTCTCAGTGGCCATCCCGGACGGGCTGCCGCTGCCATGATTATTAACATTCATAATTTGTAATCTTTCAGTATATACTACAGTTGAAGATCTAAGAAAATACAAAGAACCCAAAGCCACTGGAATTCTTTGTTATCAGTCATTTGTCTTAGGTTTCCCTTTATACTTTCAAAACGTAACTTACTTTCATCTATACATAATGTTGAAAGATTTTAAAATCTTTGGGCTCCTGAATCATTAATAGCCTTATGAAATGCTAGTGATAAACTGAAAAAAAAAGTATTCTGTTTGTAACCAGGGACTGCTTTAATTATTTTCACCTATAGTATTGCCTTCTCATACAGGGCCTGTATATATTTATAACAATTAACTAGACCTGCCACTAAAAGATAACAAAAGAAAAAGGAAAGCCTAAAATACCATGTCGTATGTGCTTTACTTCACTCTATTAAAACCTATATCCTTTGTAACTTTTTAATTTAAAAAGTTAATTTAGTAAAACATGTTTAATTTATTTTCCTAATTTCTATAATCAGGTGATTATCCACCTTGCAGGGGATCTTTCTTTCGTGTAGTTCTGCTCCTGTAATTTGACATCTTGCTCTTGAGAGTCTTCTTCCTTTTTAAAGGCATAAACCTTTTATTTTTAAAAAGTGTAATTGAAACATAACATTATTGTAAACACAATTCATGGTTCCCACAAAAGAATCAATAGTTAAGTGCCATCATATTTCACTTTCCTTAACAGATGTACTGCTTAAATTTTTATTTAAATCTAATTCTATTTTTGTGCTGGTATAATTTCAGGAGGTTTTTTTTCTATTTTTTTTCTTTTGGACATACTTGACAATAAATTCTAATCTTTTCTCCCCAAAACTCCTTGCTAATAAGTTTGTAATCTATAAATGTGTGCCCAAATTAAGTTATGTAGCTACTATTTTAAAAGTTGTTCCGCAAGGTTAAAACAAATTTTTTAATGTAAAGAGTGACAACCTCACGTAGTCACTAAGCCATTTCAATTTATTTCATTGTATTTTTAAGCCATTTTCCTTCTTAAGTCATTTTACTTTATTTTTTTATTGCTGTATTTGGATGTTCTAAAATATATTATGTAAGCACATTTTCTCTAAGTTACAGATTTATTTTGTCTTCACATTTTTAAAATAATCCTAAATGACATAAAATATAATGAAGCTATTACATAATTCTGGTCCTATTGTCTAAAGACACCACAATATAGCTGATGGCAAGGATCCTTTGTGTCTTTTATTTTCCATAGGTCTGGAGGTGAATAGCCACTGATTCCTTTCCAGCACCAATAACCTTTCTGTAACCTGTTTCTTCAGTTGTAAAATGAAGGAGCTAACTAAACATTAAGCTGTTTTGTTGTTGTTTTGACTGTTCTCATTCTTCATTTTCAAGTCTAAAAACCAATATGGATATAACTTTTTGCAGTGAGACATAAATAACTTCTTTTTCCAATGTTTTTTATTCTCAATCAGAGAAGGTGTGTATTTACGTGTATGGGTTTAAATTAGGAAAAAAAGAAACTTTTTCAAGCCAAAACATGAAAGTTGGTTATTTTCCAAAATAAGTCAATGTATATATTTTTAAGAACAAAAATAAATACTTTGTCAGTTGGCCATGGCTCAAGGCAAAATGAAAAGTTTACTCCCATTCTTGAAAAGCAGTTTTTTTTTTAATGGAAATCCTAAAAACTTAAAGTTGTAGCATAAGTGGCCACAAAAATGACAAGATTATACTGGATAGCAGATAAGGCCCTGAACATTTTCCATTCAAGCAATAAAAGAATATCTTGGAATTTATTTTAAATAATTTTTAACACACAGCTAGATGTTGCCATAATTGGAATATTTTTATGAAATTAGAAACAACAATTAGTTTTAACCCCATTCAATTCTCCATACTTAACCAACATGTACAAATTATTTAGAGGTATAAAATAAAAATAAGTAGGTATAAAAATAAGTAGAACTTTCTTACCACTCTTTGGCCTCCATTGTAATGATCTATTTTGTTCCCCCCTGAGGCAGTGTATGATGAGAGGCAGAAGCTTCCCTTCAGCAGTTGCCATTCACAGGAAGTATTGAGGGTGATTTATTGCACTGGTCCTGATTCACCCTGAGTGGAAGCAGAGAATAAAGGATTCTTATTATTTTCCTAGCTTAGTTTTATTTTTTGCTTTCCAATAATTATCTAAGCACCAACCAATTTCCTGTTATTTATTTCCAATCTTTTCAAGTAAACTGATGTATCTAGCACACACAAAACTATCTATCCACTCAACGCCTATGAGAGCCCTAGTTTGAGTAAATAACACTCCATATTAATAAATGTCTTAGCTAATCTTTTTGGACCAATCTTTTGTACAAAAAAAAAAAGAAGAAGAAGAAGAGAGAGAGAACAAGAGAGGAAGGCAGACCTTATCTTCTCTGAACTAAGTATCTATTATATACTATGTACTATAACTTATATAGTTATATAACTTATATAGCTAGTATATAATAGTATATCTATTATACAGTATCTACTATAGATGTATTATATACTATAACTAGTATCTATTAAAAACACTTTCATAAGCTAAAATATAAAGGTGCAATTTGAGAACATTGGACTGAGTGAAGAAATGTATGCTATGACCTACTTGTCCATGTACTGTTATTTCTCTTCAATGAAGTTTTGAGAAAACTTGGTTTTATGCCTGTTGACCATAATGCTAAAACATATGGTCTTTTTACAGTGATTTTCTCTAATTCCCTTACTAACAAACCACAGTGATAATTTCTGCTCATTTGTCCATGTAGATATATTTTTGAAATTTCTAAAGAAGGCAAAAAAACCTCTCTTTACATGATAGAAATTAAGGCCTAGAAAAGAATATATGGTACACTTAAATATATCAATATTAACTGCTAATATTTTTCAAACACTGGAGGATTACACATGTAATTTATCCAGATCAGGAAAAATGACAAAAAACAAAGCATATACAAATCCAAAAGTCATTCAGTTCAAAGTAGTAGGATCTGGTTTATAAAATTCAAAAATTGGTCCAACTTTTACCTGAAAAGTTGTATTGCAATCTGCCTCAGGAGATCATGGGACTGTATTCATGAATACTCTGAAGAGATAATGCTTAAGAAAGGGTAGCTACTTGAGTGGCTCTTTCCTACCATGAATCTGATTAATTTTTAAATGAAGACATCATAAGCTGTTGTGAATTATGCAGTCTTATTACTTTTTTTCTCGATTTCCTTTTAAAATTAACTATTTGATTTTCTAATAATGACTTTGGTAAACACAGAATTTTTAGAAGTGTAACTATCAAGACTGGTAAGAGATTACTAAATATATTTGTAAGAAACTTGGCAAGCCAATAACATTTATGGCCTTCAATTTATTAATATAAGAAATCACAAATCTTAGCAATCTCTAAATTCTCTTCTAGCTCTAAAATTCTATGACTTTTTGCTAACCAAATAATCTTATTTTCATACGTCTTTCTTAATTAATCTTGAGCTAGCACATGCAAGCTGCTGGATTTAACTTAGAAATTAAGACTGTAGTGAAATGATTCACAATCTCTAAGTCACTGTAGATATGTTCATATGTCATTTAACATAAAACTATTTTTTACATTAATATAAAATACTCATTGTATTTATTTTACTACTAAATATGCAACTGGAGAAATGTCTGAAATGGCACACCTGTTCTCAATTCAGCAAAAAAGGTAAAATCAGAAACAACACACCTGTTACATGGTGTAAGAAAACTGCTGTGCTGAAATTCCTTCTCCGGGGGGGAGGGGGGGGAAGAGACGTGGTACATTTTATTTAATCAAAAATATTCATTGATTACTAAATCTGTACAAAATATTTTGCTGAGTGCCACAGGAAGCAGTACACAGCCTAGCCTTCAACTGACTTTAAAATTGATAGAATTGGCCGGGCTCAGTGGCTCATGCCTGTAATCCCAGCACTTTAGGTGGCCAAGGCGGGCGGATCACAAGGTCAGGAGGTCGAGACCATCCTGGCTAACATGGTGAAACCCCGTCTCTACTAAAAATACAAAAAATTAGCCAGGCATGGTGGCATGCGCCTGTTGTCTCAGCTACTTGGCAGGCTGAGACAGGAGACTCGCTTGAACCTGGGAGGCAGAGGGTGCAGTGAGCCGACGTCATGCCACTGCACTCCAGCTTGGGCGATAGAGTGAGACTCCATTTCAAAAAAAAAAAAAAAGAAAAAGAAAGAAAGAAACAACAATGATAGACTGGATTAAGAAAATGTAGCACATATACACCATGGAATACTATGCAGCCATAAAAAATGATGAGTTCACGTCCTTTGTAGGGACATGGATGAAATTGGAAATCATCATTCTCAGTAAACTATCGCAAGAACAAAAAACCAAACACCGCATATTCTCACTCATAGGTGGGAACTGAACAATGAGATCACATGGACACAGGAAGGGGAATATCACACTCTGGGGACTGTTGTGGGGTGGGGGGAGGGGGGAGGGATAGCATTGGGAGATATACCTAATGCTAGATGACGAGTTAGTGGGTGCAGCGCACCAGCACGGCACATGTATACATATGTAACTAACCTGCACAATGTGCACATGTACCCTAAAACTTAAAGTATAATTAAAAAAAAAAAAAAGAACCATCAAAAAAAAAAAAAAAGAAAGATAGATAGAATAAGCCAAGCATTTATCAGTTTCTTCTTCATCCATTTATTTATTCAAGATTTATTGATTTATTATTTACTATTGCCCATTGAGCTTGCAATCTAGGGCTAGCAGGCAAAGAACAGACCACAGATTATTAACCTAATATGAAAAATGCCAGGCAGATAATCCAAACTCAGATTGATTTCTCTACATGGTCAGTTCAAACAAAGCTCAACAAAAAGAGGTATCGTTTACCCTTGGACTGAATGCCAAAAGAAAAACAGTTTTTTGAAAAACAAGAAGGATGCTTTTGAGATATACCAAAATCTCTTGCAAAGAACCTGAAATTTTAGAAGGCTTTACCTGTCTGAGGAACAGTTAGATGATCAGTGTTCTTGTGATATGAGTTGACACTGAGAAGGTAGGCTGGGGACAGATCTGGTAGAGATTTCCACACATAAAATATCTGGATTGTATTTTAAACACTGAGAAAAACCACTGGAGATATTTAAGTAGGTGATTGTCATGACTTTTTTTCTTTTTAAAATATCACTCAGACTTTCCTGTGGAGAATGGATTGACAGTAAACATATCTGTTTGGTGGTTTCTTTGGTAAACTAGAAAAAAATAATGACACGTAATGGAATTAGGGTGGCGAAACTAGGGTGAAATTATGATGGCTTTGGAGATTGTTAAAGGAGCTGAAGTATAATAAACAGATTCAGGGATATATTTTGTGGGTGAGTTTGATGATACTTGTTTGGATTTTGAGGTTAGTTTGCTGAAGCTGAGAGGAGATAAGAAAAAAAAGACGATCTCTTGTACTTTGGCTTTAGCAAATATATAGACGATGATGCTTTTTACTGAAATAAGGAAGAGTCAGGGAGACCATGTTTGGGGTTTCAGTTTTGACCATATTAACTTAGAGATATCCTTCATATATTCATGTGGGGTTACTGAGAGGGTAGATACACAATTTGATAGTTAAGAGAAATTAGCCTAAGGTTCACTAATTAGTTACATTCATTTAAATATGCCAAGCATTATGTTAAAATAATAATTACATTATATATAGTTTAAATACAGCTATGTTTACTATGTTTTTCTAACTCCTTTTTTAAAATTTGTATTTATTTTTAAGTTAAAAGATAAAATAGGGCCAGGTGTTGTGGTATGTGCCTGTAGGTCCAGCTACTAGGGAGGCTGAGGCAGGAGGATAGCTTGAGCTCAACAGTGTGAGTCCATTCCAGGCAACATAGTGAGACCCCATCTGTTTAAAAAAGAAAAAGAAAAAAGGATAAAATTGTATATATTCATCATGTAGAACACAATGTATTGAAATATATATATATATACTTCATATATATATACTTCAATTCATATATATATATATATAGAGAGAGAGAGAGAGAGAGAGAGAGGAATGACTGGATCAGGCTAATTGACACATGCATTACTCCATATAGTTATCACTGTTATGGTGAGACTACTATAAATCCAGTCACTCCTTTGTAACTGACTTTCTAGCCCTTTTCATAAAAAGGAAGGGGTCAGGTATTTCATTGTGATGGTGAGAACATTGTATATTGAGTCACTCCTTCCAGTCTGGGCAACATAGAAAGACTCCCATCTCAAATCATAATAATAAGAAGAAATAAGAAATAAGAAGCAATAGATAAAACTGAGCTCTGATACACTCGGAGTAAAAATTGATGAGTGTATGAAACCCTCTATTTTATCTTATATATATATATTTCTGGGAACATTTTTACACATGTAGGATTATCTAACTTTATGGAGGAAGAAACTAGGGTCCAAGGGGTTGGGAATTAAAGAACACTCAGTTAGAAATTGGGTAGTTGAATTTGGAATGTGTGGAGCTTGGCCTCGAAATGTTTTCCCCACTGCACCCTAGCATCCCGGGAGTTTACTAGTTTCTTCATACCTGCTGGCAACAATTTTAATTCAGTCTTCCTTCCTTTAAGCTACTTTAATTCAGTCTTCTCTCCTTGAAGCTACTTTAAAAATCAATTTGTGATTCCCTATTATGTGCCTCTCTTTTTGCTTTCATTGAAAGAAGAGGTAAACAATTTGCTTCATGTAATTTTCTTCTATTGAATGTGCAATTCGTTTGTAAGGAGTAGAAGGGATTTTTCACGAAAAGAAACTGACATGGAATTTGCCAGAAGTCACTATAATGAACACAATTGAACCAATTTTTCAACATGAATATGAAATATCCTGGAGTTCTGATGTTATTTTTTAATGTCAAACATGGAGGAGCAATATTTCATTCCCCTAAAAAACATCCTCTGTCCTCCCAAAATATATTTTTGATTATGTTAGGTAAATTAAATAATCAGCAAGTATTAGAGTGCCCACTTTGTGTCTAGTGAATCATCTAATATATGTATGGTGCATATTACATAAATATTATTCTTTTCAAAGCATTTTTTTAGGAAGGGCAGCAACTTGCTTCCAACATTTTAAAACTATTTTTCAAGATCCTTCGATACAGTTGGTATGCCTTGCAAAACCAACTGTTTCAAACAAAATATTTAAACAGAGTTTTCTAAATATTGGCTTGATGTAGTTTCTTATCTTACCTTGGCTAAAAATCCACAAAGTGAGTCAAGGTTGCTAAATTTGACCATACTTACACCTGAACTTTGGAGCCATATAAGGCTGTTCTTTAAATACATTCCATTAAGATTTACATGAGCAGATTATATATATTTATGTATTTGGAAAGATTTTGATAACAGTTGTTATTGTTAGAAAACATAACCTCAAAAGTTCTATTTCAGAACTTTATTATGTCTTGGGGTATAAATATTAAAGTTGTTGAAATTTCAACTATTTCCCATAATCAGCTTTTTTACTGACAAAGGTCTTTTTGAAACTTGTCCTTGAGGGAAATGACTTGTAGATAAAGGTACTTATAATGATCTTGGGGCCAATGGTTAAAATTAAAACATATGGTACTGGGAAGATTTTTATAGAAGTTCATAAATAAATATTATCAACTGATTTTCAAGCTTTTATAGGCAATGACAAACTGGAATCAATTTTCTTGTTAGACCATTTAGATCTATCCTTAGGCAACAGTTTAAACTTAGCCTACAGATACATTTGCTTTTTGATGAAATCCCCAGTGTCTTAGACATACCTGAGCATACTGGATAGTGGTCATTTTAGTTCCAGGTAAGCCTTGCACACATTGCTCCAGGGAAGAATTGTTACTTTTTTCAGCTTATACTTAGCTTTCCTGCACGTTATTTAATACTACAGTAAATACTTAAGTACCATTTCTTTGACCCAAGAATACCCAGTATATTGCACAGATCCTATTTTATTTCTAAAAGTAAAATTCACATAATCCAAAAATTATCAGAATGACAAACATTTAAAAAATAATCTGATGTGTTTTCTTCTATGTATTGTATGTGCTTTCTTCTATGTATACTAGTTTATCCAGTATCTTCTCCTTCCTGGAGTTTTTGCTTTAAGTAATGTCAGCTACATCTAGCTCCTATATTTGAATAAAAAAATTTTATTAGATAATTTTTAATTGCCTTCTCTTTGTTAGGCTACTGGGTTAGGGACCGAGTATACATTGATTAAAAAACTACAGTGGTCTCTGTCTTTATCGAACTTACAGACTAATAGCAAAGACAAACAAAAAGGAAAAAGAAAATTGAATGTATAATTAGAAACTCTGATAAATGGCTAGAGAAACAAATAATCAGAGTGTTATATAAGCAAATAATAGAGAGGGGAAGGTACTATTTAAAGTTATGTAGTCAAAATATCCCCCTTTAAGAAGATTACATTTAGGGTCGGTCGCAGTGGCTCATGCCTATAATCCCAGCACTTTGGGAGGCCAAGACAGGTGGATCACCTGAGGTCAGGAGTTTGAGACCAGCCTGGTCAACATGGTGAAACCCTGTCTCCACTAAAAATACAAAATTAGCCAGGCATGGTGGTGCATGCCTGTAATCTCAGCTACTTGGGAGGCTGAGGCAGGAGAATCGCTTGAACCTGGGAGGCAGAGGTTGCAGTGAGCTGAGATCCCACCATTGCACTCCAGCCTGGGCAACAAGATTGAAACTCTGTCTCAAAAGAAAAAGACAAACAAAACATTACATTTAAACTAAGACCTCAGAGATGAAACAAATCCACCCATTCAAATGTGTGTATAGTGGGTATTTGGGGAGAAGAGGTTGGTGAAGAATCATACAGACAGTGTTAATAGACCCCAAATAAGAAAAAAAAAAAAAAGACAGTTTTTTTGAGAAATTAGGAAGAGTTAAGGATGACTAGGGTATGGCTATCAAAAGAGAGATGCATACAAGATAGCTGAGATATATTGGTAGGGTTATTTTAAGTAACCTCTTTTTACTTTAGAGTGATTAGTAAGCTGTACTAAAATGATTCAGTATGGCATCTATTCTAGGTAGGAAAGAGTTGTGAAAAATGAAAGGGGCTGATAGACTGATGTTTTAAGGTCCCAGGGACCATCCAAACACAGTGATTCACTGGAAAGACTCACAGAACTTCAACACCGCAAGCATGCACAGCAGGATCGTTAGTTAAAAGAAAAGGAAACAGGGCAGGCAGAATCTGGAGGGGTCCGTGCATAGGCTCCCTATGTTCTCCCTCTTGGGAGAGGCCACGCCAAGGGAGCCCTGTTTGGGAGTTCGAGGTTTTTACTTGAGGATGGTTGCATAGGCACAAACAATCAGCTGTAGCTGATGAAATTCCAGACTCCCAGAAAGAAGGTAGATGTGCAGTGACACAGGCGGGCAAACCAACTTTATCAGTGGATCAGACTTTCTGAAGGTTGAATGTTCCAATGCCAGCCAAAAGCCCAACCCACAAGAAAACGTTCTATAGGTAACTGCTACAGGCCTGCTATGGTAAGGTTTTTTTTTTCTGAAGCACAGCTGCTGAGATAGGGATGGGACCGAGCGTCAGAGAGAAGGACATTCAGAAGTGTAGAAGTTGATTCCCTAAAAGTAGAAGTGCCCCATTTTTTTTCCTACAAAATCAAATAAAAATCAAGCCCATCTCAGTCTTCATCCTCTACATATTCATCCTTCATTCTCTGCCTTCATTTTCTCATTGAACTCTATTCCTTGAAACCCTGCAGCTACTATTTGTATTACCATTAGGATATTTAACACAGCATTATGTGTTATACTTTCTAGTTGTTACATTTTATTTTTCATTTTAGATTATTAAGTGTCCATGGAAAACGTAAGTTTTGATTGTGGCTTTTCAGTTCCCTTACTTCCTATAAGATAATAGGCTATAGAAATAATTGTAGGATGAATGAGTAAAAGGAATGAGAAAAATGTAGAACAAATGCACAAAAATCTGTGTTCCTTTTGCATTTTAATTTATGTCTATGTGTTTGGAATATGTTAATGCTTAACTCTTCAAAAGGAACAAAACCAGATTGATCTAAATCATTCTTATGGCCTCTGTTGCCCAAGATCACAATGCATAACATCGTATAAATTATCATTTTCATTTTCACGATGGGTTTTTTTTTGGTTTTTGATTTAAAACTGTTTAGGTATCTTAACAACAAAAGAGTTAAATTTATTTCTGAAGGGAAAATAAATAACCATGTGAAGAAACATCATATTTAAGTGTGTAGTTGGTTTTGTTATTATTTTATCTCCTAGTAGCAAAGTGAGCATATTTATTATTGTTCTAAACTTCACCAGACACCCCAATGGTTTCCTATGTTTGTTTATTTTGGATTGTGGTTATGATTCCTACATAAATGTTTACAGATCTCTTCAAGTTTCAGACTACTTTTAGAAAGGTTATATCCTCTGAAGGTAAGAATTTATAATCTTGTGGGGTCAATCACAAAATAGGATAGCAAGTTTGACATGAGCAGTGATGATGGAAATGGATTATGTTACAAAGGAATTAATCTGTAACTATCCTGTTTTTAGTGAAAGGACAAATACCAAGCCCTAGAAAACAGTGCCTCTTCCTACCATACCAGATCTTGAAATCACCACTAAATCTGTAACAATAGTGGTGGGTGGACACATGACAATTAGGAAGTGGATTTCAACCACTAACCCATTCACAAATGATACAGAAAATGCCTCCAGACACAAACCATTAGTTTTCCCCACCAAAAACTGAATGTATAATTTAGAATTTAAATAGCTCTTTTTCTATTTTATTATGGGCAAAGAGAAATAGGAAGTTGAATAAATGTCGATCAATTTGATCAATTTAGATACCTATAAAAGTAATTTAAGTGAAATGTGTCTTTATTTCTTAATTGCTGAACACTTTTGTATTTAATTTTATAAAAGCGATTTCAGATACTCTCCTTCTCTGCACCTAGGTTACTTCCTATGCCTATAGTGTAGCTGAAAAGCATAATTGTTAAGAGCATGGTCTCTTACAGACTTTGGTTCAGATTTCTATTCCTCTATTTACTAACTGTACAACTTAGGTAATTTTATGTAATCTCCCTAAACCTCAATTTCCTCACCTTTGAATTGGGATAATGATACCCATGCCAGCAGGTCTATTAGAATTATACATTACATGTATGAAATGTATAGAGAGTACCTGGTATTATAAGTCCTAGCTAGGCATTTTAGACAGGAGTGGAATTATTTGCAGCAATTGTACCATTATATTTGTTGTGATTGAACTAGCTGTGTCTCCAATACTGATTTATTTTTTTTTATTTCATAAGTATTTGCTGCTGTGGGCTTAACATCTGACAGATGTTAGAGTTTAGGGTCGTGCTTTTATCTCAACTTTTCCCTGCTGCAGCTGTAGCCAATGTGGCAGCTTTATAAGATGACAGGAGGGGAGAAAGAATGCCAGTACTAACTTCAACTGTTCCTTTAATAAGGACAGCAAGTGATTTCCTGAAATCCCCTTTAAATCAATGGATGCCTCTAAATGCAAGGAAGACTGAATATGGATTTTTGGATTTTCAAGCTCCATAGCAAAAGCAGCAAGTTAAAAAGCATTTGAGAAAGCCTTCCAACTACTTTGGCAGATAGTATTTCTTCAGTATCAGGTACGGTTTTAAGAACCTTACTTTAGCTTATTTAGTTTCCTCAACAGCACAATACTATTCCAATGTGTTAGACACTATTATACAATTTTCACTTTATAGATGAAAAAACTGCAGCAAGGAGAGGTTAAATGAAGTTCTCAAGGTTACATGGATTGTGGTGGGCTTCAAACACAGCTAGTCTGGCTTCAAAGTCTGTACCATTAAATACCATGCTCTACTGCCTCTCAATAAACAGAGTATTGAACTTGTTTGCCAAGTAGTCACAGCAGCAGGAGAATCAGGTGCTGCTCAGAGGTTCACAGGGAGCAAACTTGGCTTTAAGGGACCCGAACTTCAGCAATATTGACAAAGTAGTGATTTCTATGATAAATAAATTTTATAATAAGATTTCCCAGCTTTTTAAACTCCTGGGAATTTAACTCTTACCATCTGCTGTAGTTTCTGGATGGTTGCTGAAAATTCTTTTTCTTTCTTTCTGTCTTTCTTTCTTTCTTTCTTTCTTTCTTTCTTTCTTTCTTTCTTTCTTTCTTTCTTTCTCTTCCTTCCTTCCAACCTTCCTTCCTCTCTTTCTTTCTTCCTTTCTTTCTTTTCTTTTCTTTCTTTCTTTTTCTTCTTTCTCCCCTTATTTTTCTTTCTTTCTTTTCTTTTCCTTTCTTTCTTTCTTTTCTCTTTCTTTCTTTCTTTCTTTCTTTCTTTCTTTCTTTCTTTCTTTCTTTCTCCTTTCCTTTCCTTTCCTCTCTCTCTCTCTCTCTCTCTCTTTCTTTCTCTCTCTCTCTCTCTCTCTCTCTCTCCCTCTCCCTCTTTCCTTCTGACAGGGTCTCACTCTGTCACCCAGGCTGGAGTGTGGTGTTGCAATCACAGCTCACTGCGGTCTTGACCTCCCAGGTTCAAGAAATCTTCCCATCTCAGCCTCCCCAGTAGCTGGGACTACAGGTGCACTCTACCACACCAGGGTAATTTTTGTATTTTTTGTACAGACAGTGTTTCATCATGTTGCCCAGGCTGGCTTTGAACTCCTGGACTCAAGCAGTCTGCTTGCCTGAGTCTCCCAAAGTGCTAGGATTACAGGCATGAGCCACCATTTATTTCATGCTCAGCTGAAATAAATCTTTAGATTATGACTTGGCCTACAAAATATTTTATCAATTAAAGGGATGAAAAGAAGGATGATGTGGTTTACAAAGAGGAAAATATAATAAAAAAAAACTTGGACATTTATGAGATGTAAATGTGAGACAACTATATTAATACAATTCCGTGTATGAAAAAAATTAAGTATCATAACAATGGAGATGTGGCTTTTCATGTCTCTCTTTTCCTTTAGCCAGATTAAAATGTTTCTGCCTTCAAGCCAACACATTTAAAAGCCTTTGCACTTATTTGATTCAGTTGAGCTTAATTTTCTGCATTTTTCTTGTGTAATATATTACTGAAATATTTTTATTGAAAGTCAAATAACAACCAGTAAGGTCCTATATCAGTTATTAGTTGCTGTGAAACAGACCATAAAAACTTAGTGGTTGAAAACAACATTCATTTATTTTGTTAATTAATCTGCGATTATAGCAAGACTCCAGAATAGTCTAATTTCTGGTCCATGTAGCATCACTTAGGCTGGCTCTGAGGTCTGAAAGATCTTATTCAAAGATAGTTCATTCACATGGCTGGCAAGTTAATACCAGCTATTGATTTGGAACCCAACTGAGGCCACAGGTGCTTTCTAATTGTGCCTCTGCATTTGTACTGGGCTTCTTCACAGCATTGTGGATGAATCCTAAGAGTTAGTGTTCCAAGACAGTCAGGAAGAAGCTGTATTGCCTTTTATGACCTAATCTCAGATGTTATATTGCATTACCTCTACCATATCCTTTTAGTCAAGGAAATCACAAAGACCCACCTATGTTTAAGGTGAAGGGACATGGACTTCATCTTCTGTTGGGGCAATGGAAAGGATCTTGATGAACAGGAGGGACTAGAAAGAAATACTCTGCAGCCATTTTGTAAAGTATAATTTGCCACAGGTAACTTAGATACCTCCAAATCAACTGAGTTAGAACTTTCACTGATTATGTCCCCATATATTTCCCCCTCCTCAATATACAGACTTATTCCTGCCTTTCAAATTTGGTTACTGAAATCACTGTCCACCAATTTACATTTAGTAATAGGCAAATAAAAATTTTAAATGTTTAGCAACTAGAACTGAACAGGCCCTTATCCATCAGAATGAGAACCAGCCATAAACAAGCACTAAAACTGCACAGGTAGCTATCAGTTGAATATTAGTTCTGCTTATGTAAAATAATTTGCTTGAGAGTTTGTTTGTATATTTCTTTTATAAATATTTAGTATTATTATAAATAAAACAATTGGCTTCCATTCTATAATGTCTGCATATTTTGACCATTAAATTGCCAATCAATTTATTAACAACTACATGGTAGTGAGCCTGAAATGATCCATTTAGTTTAAAACCATAAGAGTTTCAGGCTTAGGAAAACCCCAGGAGACATCTAGCCCAACCTGACTCATTGAAAAGGTAATAAACTTTTTGTTATTATTAATATGAACACATTTTTAAGAAATTCAGAAAAATACCGATAATCTGTATCCCAATATGCCAGGGATGGTTTGTAAGAACACTGCAATATGTATTCCACATAAATTATTATATAAGTGCATGTAATATATAGAGATAGAATTGTTTAATACAACTTTTAACTTGGCGGTTAAGTTTTTTATCATTTATATAGTAATATATTCCTCCTCATTTTTTTATGCTATAACATATTTCTCTAAAATGGTTACTATATTTAATTATAATAATGTACCATAAATTATTTGACAGATTTCCTACTTTGAATGTTTGTTATTTCCAATTTTTTACTATAATCAATAAAAATATGATAGTTATCCTAGTATATATGTATTCATTTCTTCCTCCATGAAATTCTCTAGAAATAGAATTATCATTTGGACATAAGGTAAGGCTACTAACTAGTAATGTTGTAGACAAATATGGCCAACTTGCTATCCACCAATTTACGTTTAGTATTAGGCAAATAAAAATTTTAATGTTTTAAATTTTAATTTCAATTTAGACTTCCATTATGCATGTATGATGACAGTTTCCCTAGAGCTTCTACAACACAGTTGTTATTTTCATTTTCTAATACCTAAAAGTACTAGTGACATGCCCAAGATCACAAGGATTATAATTATATTGCTGATTTTATTATAAATATAAGTATGCAAATACATTAAAATAATTGGTACGATTTTTATTTTTCAGTATCAATTTTAATTTTCCCATCAATTAAATTGTCTTGAGTAAAATAATGTATAATAACTTTAAAAATTAAAATGATTTATTTTACCATTAGTTTGAAATCTTTTACTTTGTATACAAAAGTCTGATTTAAATTATTACTTTTCCAAACCATATACTGTATTTTAAATATTCTGGCTGTTTTTGTTCTTTTAATGATATATGCTTAAGCTTATTTATGGAATTATGAGTTTTTTGAGATAAAAATCTCAGTAGTCATCCATTTGTTTAGTTTACAGATAAAAAGACTACTTTGTGGAAGAAAGTGTTGTTATTGTTACACCTAAGCCTTGACTTAAATCCCTAGATGAATTATTTTTAATTGCTCTGCATTTTTCTAATACTATTTAATTTAAAATAATTGTTGTCCTGCTATGGATTATAAATGGACTTAAATCTTGAGAATAAATCTTAAAATTTCACAAACAATATCACTGCCACTGATTGTTATTGTCAATGACTTAAAACAGGCCAGGAAACACATTAGATGACATATAATCCCCACAGCAGTCTTGTACAGTGGCAGTAGAAGCTAAGAGTTTTGACAAAAGTACACAGCTGGCTAGAAACTAGCTCAAAATAAAGTAGATTTGCCTGGTTCCAAGGACTACAATTTGTCATAGTCCCTAGACGCACGTTTTACACTAGAATCCAATTAAATAAACTAACATTTGAATAGGACTAAAAACTTCTTAAACATTTTATAAATAAAGCATTAGACACAGTCAATGCCTTACACGCATGTAACAACAATTGAGAATACAGCATATTTCAATGGAAACTAAATTTCCCTGAAACTCAGGAGGCCTAGGTCTCATGTTACATCTGTCACTTACTGGTTGTACGGCTTTCTGTAAATTAGGACATTTATAGTTCTTAAATTTCCAATTTGCGGAGATTGAACTAAGTGATCCCTGATATCATTTTAGCTTTAACATTCCTCTATTTAACAATCTATTAATAAAGTTGAAATTAGAAATAAATTCCATTTTGAATTACCTATTCACCTAACCTAATAATGTGTATATTTCCTTCAAAGTGGCTTTACAATTCATTTACACATAATATATAGTCCCTATTTAAGTCAAGCATTTCCCTGACATCTATAAAATCTCACATATAGTCTCTATAAATAGAGTAGAAATCATAGTTCATAAGGAAATATTTACTTCTATTTTCTATACTTATTTCCCTTAGTAAAATAATATGTAGATGGTGGAAACATGGTTTGTAAAAGATAGCAAACCAGAAAATTTCATTTCAAATGCTGGTATAAGACCAACATAAAAGAAGAAATAAATAGAGAAATGAATGTTTTAAGTTAGTTGGCTACATGAGGTCTCTATATAATAATATTTTCAGTCGAAACAGAAGAAAAACAACCAAATAGTACCAAGTATTTTATTACCATTGGCTAAAGCAAAAGCAAACACAAAAAATGGAAATTATTGTATACCCAGTAACAATAATCCAATACCACAGTATGAAAAACAAAAGTTTATAAATAGATTAGTAATTCTTTGCTCAAAGATTTTTGTCATTTTGTTTTATGGTCATTGTGGTTTTACTAAATTTTAATTACAAATCAGTAATCTAATTATAGTTTTTTAAATATTTAAATATAAAAACTTGTTTTATAATTTTAAATCAATTTTAATATTGAAGTTATTATTTCCTTTTGTAAAATTGAGAAATGTCTAAAAATTCCTTTATCAAGATTGTTTTATTAATTACATTTTATTTTCCTCTAACATAACTGAAAAAATACTAAGCATATTAAATTTCAGGAAAAAATTGTGTAATAAAAAGTGAGAGGTAAAGAAATTAAAGTAGAATTTGACAGTTTTGTTATTTTTAGTTTTTTAAATCATAATTTTTATTTTAGGTTCAGGGGTACATTTGTAGGTTTGTTTTATAGACAAACGGTGTGTCATGGGAGTTTGGTGTACAGATTAATTAATACCCAGTTAATAAGCATAGTTGCTAAGGATAATGGCCTCCAGCTCCAGCCATGTTGCTACAAAAGACATGATCTTGTTCATTTTTATGACTACATAGTATTCTGTGATGCATAGGTACCACATTCTCTTTATCCACTTTATCATTAATGGGCATTTAGGTTGATTCCATGTTTTTGCTGTTGCAAATAGTGCTGCAATTAACATATGTGAGCATCTGTCTTTGTGGTAGAGGAATTTATATTATTTTGGGTATATACCTGTATTAGCGTTCTGTAGAGAGACAGGAATAATAGGATAGACACATATATGAAAGGGAGTTTATTAAG
Source organism: Homo sapiens (assembly GCF_000001405.40). NCBI lineage: Eukaryota > Metazoa > Chordata > Mammalia > Primates > Hominidae > Homo > Homo sapiens. The sequence continues at coordinate 85,405,874 of NC_000007.14, read as the reverse complement.
GAATATTGACTCACACAATCACAAAGTGAAGTCCCACAGTAGGCCGTCTGCAAGCTGAGGAGCAAGGAAATCAGTCCTAGTCCCAAATCCTCAAAAGTAGGGAAGCCAACAGTGCAACCTTCAGTTAGTGGCTGAAGGCCTGAGAACCCCTGGCAAACCTCTGGTATAGGTCCAAGAGTCCAAAAGCTGTTTGAAGGCAGGAAGCATCCAACGCAGGAGAAAAATGGAGGCCAGAAGACTTAGCCAGTCTAGTCCTTCCATGTTTCTCTGCCTGCTTGTATATCAGCTGTGCTGGTAGTTGACTAGATGGTGCCCACCCAGGTTGAGGGTGGGTCTGCCTCTTCCAGTCTGCTGACTCAAATGTTAATCTCCTTTGGCAACACTTTCATAGACACACTCAGGAACAATACTTTGCATCCTTCAATCCAATCAAATTGACACTCAATATTAACCATCATAACACCCAATAATGGGATTGCTGGATCAAGTTTCAGGTTCTTTGAGGAAACATCATGCTGAATTCCACAATGGCTACCCTAATTTACACTACCATGAGCACTGTATGTGTTCCCTTTCCTCTGCAACTCCACCAGCACTTGTTTTTGTTGTTGCTGTTGACTCTTGGATAATAGCCATTCTGACTGGTGTGAAATGGTATCTCAATGTGGTTTTGATCTGCATTTCCTGAATGATGCATAATGTTGAGCATTGTTTTCATATGCTTACTGGCTGCATGTGTGTCTTCTTTTGAAAAACATCTGTTCATGTCCTTTGCCTACTTTCTAATGGAGTTGTTTTTTGCTTGTGAACCTATTTGTTGCATATAGCTTCTGGATACTAGACATTTGTGGGACTGGTAGTTTGCAAATATTTTCTTCCCTTCTGTAGGTTGTCCAATTACTCTATTGATAGTTTAGGGTGTGCTTGTTCAGAAGTTCTTTAGTTTAATTAGGTATCATTTTTCAATTTTTGTTTTTGTTGCAATTACTTTTGGCACCTTTGTCATGAAATCTTTGCCCAGTCCTGTATCCAGAATGGTGTTTCCTAGGTTATCTTCCAGGGTTTTTACAGTTTTAAGTTTTACATTTAAGTCTTTTATACATCTTGAGTTGATTTTTTTTGTATGGTGTAAGGAAGGGGTTCAATTTCAAACTTCTGCATATGGCTAGCAAGTTATTTCAGCACCATTTATTGAAATGTAAGTCCTTTCCCCATTGCTGGTTTTTGTTGGCTTCGTCAGAGATCAATTAGTTATAGGTGGACAGCAATATTTCTGAACTCTCTAGTCTGTTCCATTGCTCTATTTGTCTGTTTTTGTACAAGTCCATGCTCTTTTGATTACTGTAGCCTTGTAATATAGTTTGAAGTCAGTTAACATGATGCCTCCCACTGTATTCTTTTCACTTGGCATTGTCTTGGCTATTTGGGCTCTTTTTTGGTTCCATATGAATTTTAAAATAGTTTTTTTTTTCTAATTCTGTGAATAATATCATCTTTAGTTTGATAGGAATAGCATTGGATCCATAAACTGCTTTGGGCCATATGGCCATTTTAACAATATTGATTCTTCCTATGAATGAGCATGGAAAGTTTTTCCATTTATATTATTGTCTCTGATTTCTTTCAGCAGTGGTTTATAATTCTCATTGTAGAGATCTTTCACCTCTCTTGGTAGCTGTATTCCTACATATTTCACTCTTTTCCTGACAATTGTGAATTAATCCAGTTCCTGATTTGGTCTCAGTGTGGATGTCATTGGTTTATAGGAATACTACTGATTTTTGTTTATTGGTTTTGTATTCTGAAACTTTGCTGAAGGTTTTTTTTTTTCAGATCAAAGCACTTTTGGGTAGAGAATATAGGTTTGTCTACATATAGAATTGTGTCATCTGCAAACAGGGATAGTCTGACTTCCTCTCTTCCTATTTGATGCCTTTTATTTATTTCTCTTGCCTGATTGATCTGGCCAGGACTTCCAGTACTATGTTGAACAGGAGTGGTGATAAAGGACATTCTTATTTTGTTCTGGTTTTCAAGGGGAATGCTTCTAGTCTTTGCCCATTCAGTATGATGTTAGCTGTGAGTTTTTTCATAGGTGGCTCTTATTATTTTGAAGTATGATCCTTACGTGCCTAGCTATTGACGGTTTTTACTACAGAAAGATGTTGAATGTTATAGCAAGACTTTTCCTTATCTATTGAGCTAATTGTGTGGTTTTTGGTTTTAGTTCTGTTTATATGATGACTCACACTTATTGATTTGCATATGTTGCACCAAATTTGCCTCCCAGGAATAAAGCATACCTGATTGTGATGGATTAGCTTTTTGAATGTGCTACTGGGTTTGGTTTGTCAGTATTTTGTTGAGGATTTTTGCATCTATATTCCTCAAGGATATTGGCCTGATGTTTGAATTTGACCATTTTATAAATTAATATAGCTTTATGACCAATATTTGATCATTAAAACACCACAATTTAAAAAATACTTATTTTAGATGAGTTATCTGTGTTATAAAAAGTTTAAATTAAACACCATTTCAGGTTATTTCACTAATTAAAATAAAATGCAGTATTTGGATCAAGGTTTGCATAATCCTTTTTACCTGGAAATTTTATTCCATTTTATCATTAACATTTCCCCTAAATAGTTCACCTGATCATTTAAGAATATCAACTCATAATTTAGAAGAATTAAGTGTGTGTCATCATGTGCCAATGCAGTTATTAGAAACTAGCATTATTGCTAAAAAGATCTTCAGGTATACTTATGGTTACTGTTGTTTTAAGCCATAAGATTGACATACATGCACCTGTCAGCTGAGTGTCCTTTGTACCATTGTTGTGACCCTTCACGTCACTTCTCACAATGTAAATCAGATTGCCACCACTCTTTACTTGCTATGTAATAAATATATTAAAATTATGCTCACATCCTTGAATAGATTATAAAAGCTTTGTAAACATTCCTTTTCTCTTTAAAGTTTTTTTGTGTATACGTGATTGTGCATGTGTATGTGTGTGTGCATGTGTGTGTATATGAGAGAGAGAGAGAGAGAGACAGAAAAACAGAGACAGGCAGAGTCAAACTAAGACATGAAGGAGAGAGAAAAATTCCAAACATCTAGAAGAGTACTTGACATGTGACATATTTTTGGTTAACAGATATATTACATCTCTTTATACAAATGTAATAATATGAATGCTTTTTAGTTTATGCTAATAATATCATAAAATCCCTTTAAACTGTAAATATTTACTTTTAACCAAATAATAACAAAACAATTCTGGCATATTCTATCTCTAAATTGATTTTTCAATTTTGCTTTTTTATTATTTTTCAGTTTGAAAGCTGTTATTTTTTATACCAGATCTTATTTTTATACCAGGTCTTAGTTTCTAATACCATTCTGCATTAGATAGAACCACAGCCCTTTGGATAAATTGTTGTTTCCAGGACTGGAACAGGGAATATGAAAGATGAATGTAGATTTCCTTCCCTTATTCCCTCCTCCCTTGCTTTATTTCTTTTATCCTAGCACATTGCTAAACCCAAATCTAAAAAAGGAAAACAGAAAGAAAAATGAGTGTATAACACCTTGCAGTGCTGGAAAATAAGAAAATGCTCCATAAAAAACCACAATGATGGAATGTCAAAGGTTACAGAAGCCAACTAAACAAGCTCCTAATGTCCAAAGTTGGAATAATTTGAGCAACAAAATAAATGATGGAATTTTGGATTATAACTCAACATATAATAAATATATATGAGTCCATACTGATAGAAAAATTAATACATGAATAAATAAATAAGGGAGAATAGAAAAAAAAAACTTTCCTGTACAGAAGGATATCAAATAACTTATGTGGATTCTTTACCCTGAAAAAGACTGAGCACAGCCCTCCAACCCTTAACTGTCAGCTGTGAATAGTGACTTTTTTCCAAAGGGTACGGTATGGAAGGCAGGCAAAGAAAATAACTTCACAATGCATAAACCTGACAAACACTACCTCAGCCAGGAGATCAAGATTCGCATCAACAGTAATAAGTCATGTTGACAGTGTGTGCCCTTGATATGATGTGAAGAAGATATTATTTCGCCTCTGTAGTCTCCCTCCACACAATATTTAACTCCATTCTACTAGTAATCAGACAATAACAAATTGATAGATAGTCTACAAAATACCTGATCAATTCTCCTTCAAACTTTTTAGGTCATCAAAAACAAAGAAAGTCTGTACCAGCCAATTTATCTACAGAAAAAAAAAAAAAAAGTCTGAGAAACAGTCACATCCAAGAGTAGCTTAAGACATGACAAGTATACTGTGGTTTAACAGACGGGATGTTAGAACAAAAAGGAGAGTATTAGGTAAAAATTAAGAAAATATAAATAAAGCAATTGCTGTAAAAATATATCAATATTGCCTCGATAATTTTGACAAATGTACCATATTAATGTTACCTGTTAACAATACAAAAAACTGCATGTAGGGTATATAGGAATTTTTTGTGTTCTTTACAACCTTTCTGTAAATCTAAAATTCTTCCGAAATAAAAAGTTAATTAAAAAGGAAAGACAGTAGCCTATATATGGTGAGAATATTCATCAGCATTGCAAAGCTGTAAACAAACACAGTATAATAATAAATTTAATAGTTTTCAGACCTTATTAAAGGCACAAAAAGAATTTCTAAAATAAATATCCCAGCGGAATAACCTAGATAATTAGTTAATATTTATAATTAAAGATTATTAATAATTTTTTAATTATTACGGACTATACTAAAAGCCTTCAGAATATATCATGGAAAGAGCATAACCTTCAGAATCTCATGAGTTCAACCTCTGCTTCACTGCCTTTGAAATAATTCTTAACTCATCCAGGTTTCCATGTTCTCAAATGTAAAAATAGGAAAATGAATTCCTGTCTTTTATGATTACTCTAATAATTAAATAAGATAATGGAGTCAAAAATATTAGATCTTTACAATTTTAGGTAAAATATTAACAGATCTCCAAGTTTTTTATTTGCTTATGATTTTCATAATTATAGGTAGCTAGTAGCCTTGTTCCTTTGTATTTTAATAAAAAAACTCTTTTTAGGAAATTAATATTGTTAAAGTGTATATTGTGAATTTAAATCAATATTTTATCTCTTGAGGAAATATTCATGTATTTTAGACTCATCACTGTTTGAAGAATAAAAGTTTTGTCTAATTACATACATTTCAACCTTCCAATAACAGGTAACGTGGGGATGAGGATGTAGTAGAGGATTAGCATAGTTATCTTTTCCCATGCTGATAAACTGAACATCAAAATGGTGACGTTTAAACTATTAGTTTATTTCTGTCTCTAATATCTGATACTAAAGCAATAATACTAATATTGGAATTGATGTTAATAGTTTTAATTGGGCCAGATGAAGTGGCTCACGCCTGTAATTCTGACACTTTGGGAGGCCAAGGCGGGCAGATCTCTTGAGCCCCAGAGTTTGAGATCAGCCTGGGCAACATGACAAAACCCTGTCTCTACTAAAAATATAAAAATTAGTCAGGTGTGATTGGTGCATGCCTGGAGCCTTAGCTACTCAGGAGGCTGAGGTGTGAAGATCGCCTGAGCCTGAGGAGGCTGAGGCTGCAGTGAGCCGTGATCCTGCCACTGCATTCCAGCCAGGACTACAGAGTGAGAACCTGTCAAAAAAAAAAAAAAAAAAAAAAAGTGTTTTAATTACATTGAGCTCCAAAAACACTTTTAAAGAGCAAAGCAATTTAGCAACTATATTAATATTTCTTATGTACCAGAAAACCAAATATGAGACACATAACCATATTTCTCTCCTAATTAAGGCAATTCATTTTAAAATAATCAGTGTATTTGGTCAACGTGTTGGTCAATGTGTTGTTAAATATTAAAACCTGTGTTTGTCCTGTCATCCTCCCCTAGTTTTTCATGTTTAGTGCTATGGTATTGACTTTCCAGAAAGCCTAGATACCCAGTAAGACAGAAGGGTAAAGACTGAAAAAAAAAAAAAAAAGTTAAAATTAGATCAATATATGAAGCCAATGCAAACCTCCTTCCCTGATAAAAGAAAAAAAATACTATGTCGAAGCAAATATTGAAAAAACAAACCACTGAATACTTATAGCAGGTACAGGACGGTACCTGCTATAAAGGAATGCGGTTCTTGCCACTCTTCTTATCCGTCTAAAATATGGGCTACCTAAAACAGAATCTCTTAATCTCAAATAGCCAGAATGTGATGTTGAAAAATTGTATCTATAGAATCTTTTCTTAGGTTTGTTTTTATTTTTGTTTTTTTTTTAAGCTGAGTGCTTTAGAGCCTACTTAGTTTCAAAAATTAATTTAAAATATATTAATATATGGTCAAGTGTACTTATGTCTATTCATAACATTTTTTTCTTTTCTCATATAAATCTATCAAATAGGCACACTGACATTTGTATTGTTAAAATTTATTTCACTCAACTTGGGTTATAAGGTCAGGAATAGAATTCAGAAAATAATTTGTCTCTTTAGCAATTATGTACATTTGTTGCGATATTGAATTAGATATGCTGTTGTAAAAAGAAAGAGCTTTACTCAGGAAACTGTTCCCTAGACACTAAATGTATTGTGCTCAGTGTCAGTTTCACAGTGGTTTAGGTAGTGAACTACAGAGATAAGTTTGAATCATTTTGAGGGTTTAATTTCATTCAGAATAGGTATGGTTCTGATAATGAAAGAAAACATTATGTCAGATTAACCTTCCATTGATACCAAGATAAGCTATAATTATAATGATGATACCTTCTTAAAGACATTGGAGAATAACAAAAGCAGGCAGAAACTGGAGAGGAGATCACTCCTGCAAGAGGGGAAGATCACTGAGTAAGAGGTACCCTTAACCAGGTTGTCTCTTGAGAGTACTCCTCAGTAATCAGTTTTCAGTAATTTTATGCCTCAGTGTCAGGATGCTCAGTAAATAGATGGACCCACACATCTAGAACTTTGGAAGATGTCTAGACCAAACAAAATAGTTCCATGGCATAATTCTATAGGTGATCATTGAAGACGGTAGCATGAATGAGCTTTCCAGGTAAAGTTTGCTAAGTGAACAAAAAGGACAATGTAGAATAGAGAGTTAGTGTTTATTATAATAATAAAACACATAGAAGTAGTATTCAATTATTGTGAATTACAGGGAAAACCAGGGAGAAAATGATGTTTATAGTGTGCTACTAAGATCATAGAAAACAATTTCAAGAGAAAGCAGTAATAAATAAATAACTAATAAATAATTAAACAAGGAAAATGCTTGACAAACCAATAATTAATGACTTAATGGAGAAGCATCAGAGAATTGAGGTCACAGTGCAAAACCACCAACCTAAAAGCTAGAGACAGGTGAATAAAGATGAGCATACTTGCCATCAGATTATTTGGGCCAGAAGCTGCTGGAGCCATATGATGATAAGAATACTCAAATGATAATTTTGATGAATTGCTGGAAGCTAAGTGTGGACTAGCTTGAGAGTGAGAAACTCCTAGTCACCCAGTCATAGGGTTGGGGTGGTAGGAGCATACTTTGGTGAGTTTTACCTCCAAGAACAACATCAGGTTCTCATGGTGAAGATCAAAGAAAAATACCCTTATATTTTTGGCAGGACAGGGAAAAAAGTAACCCTTTTGAAATACAGCTAAATCATTTTCTCCATAACGAAGACAGCACTGCAAGGAAAAATATTTTCCCAGAAACTTATCTGACCTGGGGGGAGGACAATTAACAAACTCCAGTCCCTAAATCCTCCCAGCCTTTCTTCTTTCTTTCTACTGAGAGATAGAAAAAGGCAAATAATAAAAATAAAAAGTTGTGAAGGTCACAGTCCAACAACTCAGTCCCAGTAAAATACTGAGATTTAATCACAAGATTATTAAACACTTTTTTTCCCCACACCTTACCATCACATCAACAGGAAACCAATAAAATCACAATGAATTACAGTTGTAAAAGCTGAAACTTCCATCTATTTATTTGCCAGTCTTATGATCTTTAGAATCATAAGGATCTTTCTTAAGAAAGATTATAAGACTGACAAAACAGACTCTGTGTGGCAATAAGATACCAACTTCCAACCTTGGAAACCTTTCCAACTTTCCAAAGTTGGGGGTGGGTGTGCAGGGAGGAGGAGGGGCCAATAACAAGAACACTAAAGGACACTGAAGCCTCTAGCACTAGTACCAACAGAATACAGCAAACATTATACACAGACTACCTTCTAGCAAGATTATCATAAAAGCCATACTAAAGGACATTTTCTGTAACTGATACATCTTGTATGGCTTTCAACAAAAAATTACAAGGCATGCTAAAGGCAAGAGAAAATACAAAAATCAAGCATAAACTCAGATTTGACATGGACTTTAGAATTGTCATATAAGGAATCTAAAATTACTATAATTAAGAATGCAAACTAAATATAGAATCCTAAGCCCCTCAACTGACTAAATGGACCCCCTCTTGGCCAAGGAGACCCCACAGAAACCTATAAATCTAAATTCCTGGCCATGATGGGAAGGGAGGTTGGACACACTTTGATATATCCCCTCCATTTTGGAGTTTATGCACAACTTGCCAGCATTAACACTAAAATAAAGATCATAAAACTGACAAAACAGAATTTCTGTGGCAATAAGATACCAGCTTACAACCTGACTCTGGTATAGCATCACATAACAGATAGCAGACCCTGAAGAAAATAAAAACATTTTACCCCAAAACATATTTTTTGACATATTTTGAAATGTTCCTGCAAAGCTGTCTATTGTGAGGGAAATATATATCTGTAGAGAATCTTCATTAATGCAGCCAGGCTTTCTTTTTCTAGTTCTTTCCTGGATCTAAGAGAGATACATCAGAGACCTTTAAGATCTGAAGAGATGCTTATGTCTATTCTCTCTGAAGACTGCTACCCGAAGCCTTCATCTGCATAACAAGAACCTTGGCCTCCACAGCCCTCCTTAACTCAAGCATTCTTTCTACTGACAAGTCTTTAGAAATCTTAACTCTTTCAACCAATTAGCAATCTGAAAATGTTTGAATCCCCCTGTGAGTTTTAATTCAGTCTTCCCCCCCACCACTCCTGTCAACTTCAAGATATCCTGCCTCTATAGGCTGAACCAATGTATATCATATATGTATTAATTTAAGTATTTGCCTATAATTTCTGTCTTCCTAAAGTATATGGAAACAAATGGTAACCTCACTGCCTCAGGCACACTGTCTCAGGACCTTTTGAGACTGTCCTCTGCCATGATTTCTCATATTTGCTCAGAATATAACTCTTTAAATCTTTTACAGGGTTTGGATGTTTATATGTTTTGGCTTTGTCCCCACCCAAATCTTAAATTGTAGCTCCCATAATTCCCACTTGTCTTGGGAGGGACCTGGTAAGAGGTAATTCAATCATGAGGGCAGGTCTTTCCCATGCTGTTTTCATGATAGTGAATAAGTCTCATGAGATCTGATGGTTATATAAAGGGAAGTTCCCCTACACATGATCTCTTTCTTGCCTACAGCCATGGAAGATGTGACCTTACTCCTTATTTGCCTTCCACCATGGTTTTGAGTCCTCTCCAGCAATGTGGAACTGTCAGTCAATTAAACCTCGTTCCTTTATAAATTACCCAGTCTTGGCTATGTCTTTATTAGCAGTATGAGAACAGACTAATACAGTAACTTGGTACCAGATAGTAGGGAGCTGCTGTAAAGATACCTGAAAATGTGGAAATGAATTTGGAACTGGGTAACAGTCAGAAGTTAGAGCAGTTTGGAGGGCTCAGAAGAAGATAGAAAAATGTGGGAAAGTTTGGAACTTCCTAAAGACTTGTAGGACTCAGAAGACAAGAAGATGTGGGAAAGTTTGGAACTTCCTAGAGACTTGTTGAATGTCTTTAACCAAAATGCTGATAGTGATATGGACAATAAGGTCTTGGCTGAGCTGGTGTCAGATGGAGATGAGAAACTTGTTGGAAACTGAAGTAAAGGTCACTCTTGCTATACAAAGAGACACGACATTTTGCCCCTTATCTAGAGATCTGTGGAACTTTGAACTTAAGAGAGATGATTTAGGGTATCTGGTGGAAGAAATGTTTAAGCAGCAAAGCATTCAAAAGGCGACAAAGCATAAAAGTTAAAAAAATTGCAGCCTGATAATGCAGTAGTAAATAAAAAATGATTTTCTAGGGAGAAATTCAAGCTGGCTATAGAAATTTGCATAAGTAACAAGGAGCCAAATGCTAATCGCCAAGACAATGGGAAAAATGTGTCCAGGGCATGGCAGAGAACTTCACAACAGCCCCTCCATTCATAGGCCCAGAGGCCTAGGAGGGAAAAACAGTTTCCTGGTCTGGGCCCAGGGCCCTCCTGCTCTGTGCAGCCTAGGGACTTGGTGCCCTGCTTCCCAGCCCTGACTGAAAGAGACCAATGTACAGCTCAGGTCGTTGATTCAGAGGGTGCAAGCCCCAAGCCTTAGCAGCTAACACATGGCATTGGGCCTGCTGGTACACAGAAGTCAAGAATTGGGATTTCAGAACCTCTGCCTAGATTTCAGAGAATGTATGGAAATGCCTGGATGTACAGACAGAGGTGTGCTGCAGGTGCAGAGCCCTCCTGGAAAACCTCTGCTAGGGTAGTGCAGAAGGGATGCAAACCCCCACACAGAGTCCCCACTGGGGCACTACTTAGTGGAGCTCTGGGAAGAGGGCTGCTGTCCTCTAGACCCCAGGATGGTAGATCCACCAACAGCTTGCACCATGTTCCTGGAAAAGCTGCAGGCACTCAATGCCAGCCCATGAAAGTAGCCAGGAGCAGAGCTATACCATTCAAAGTCACAGGGGCAGAGCTGCCCAAGGCCATGGGAGCCAACCCACATCTTGCATCAGTGTGACCTGGATGTGGGACCTAGAGTCAAAGGAGATCATTTCCGAGCTTTAATATTTGACTGCCCTGTTGGATTTTTGAGCTTGCATAGGGCTTGTAGCCCCTTTGTTTAGGCCAATTTATCCCATTTAGAATGGGTGTGTTTACCCAATGCTTATACCCCCATTGTGTGTAGGAAGTAACTAGCTTTTGACTTTACAGGCTCATAGGCAGAAGGGTCTTGCCTTGTCTCAGATGAGACTTTGGACTGTGGGCTTTTGAATTAATGCTGAAATGAGTTAAGACTTCTGGAGACTGTTGGGAAGGCATAATTGGTTTTATAATGTGAAAAGGACATTAGATTTGGAAGGGGCCAGGGGCAGAATGATATGGCTTGGCTGTGTTCCCACCCAAATTTCTAATTGTACCTTCCATAATTCCCCCATATTGTAGAAGGGAGCTGGTGGGATTAATTGAATCATGGAGATAGGTCTTTCCCATGCTGTTCTCATGATAGTGAATAAGTCTTAAAAGATCTGATGGTTTTACAAAGAGTAGTTCCCCTGCCCATGCTCTCTTTCTTGCTTGCCAGCATGTAAGATGTTACTTTGCTCCTCCTTTGCCTTCCATTATGATTGTGAGGCCTCCCCAGCCAAGTGGAACTGTGAGTCAATTAAATCTCTTTCCTTTATAAACTACTCAGTCTCAGGTATGTCTTTATCAGCAGTGTGAGAACAGACTGATACAGTTTTCATCAATGATGTATGGGCTCTAATGAGAAAAGTGGACAAGATATAAGAAGGTATGGGTAATGTAAGCAGAGAAATAGAAACATTGGGAAATTGTCAAAATGAAATGCCAAAAATCAAAAGCATAGTAACAGAAATGTAAAATGACTTTTGATGGGTTTATAAGTAGACTGGACACATCTGAGAAAAAGAGTCAATGAGCTTGAAATTATGTCAATAGAAACTTTTCAAACTGAAATGAACAGAAAAAAAAATTTAATGACATAATAGAATATCCCAGCACTGTAGGATAATTACAAATGATTAATATATGTGTAATTGAAATACTAGGGAAGAAAGAGAGAAAAGGAGCACAAGAAATGTTTGAAATAGTAATAACTGATAATTTTTTTAAATTATTGACAGATACTAAAACACAGACCCAGAAAACACTAAGCAAATAAAGACCAAAAAATATACACCTTGGCATTCATATAAAGAAAAAGAAACAAGATAGACAGAAGAGAGGAAAACCACCTTCAAGGAACAAGGATAAGAACTACATCAAACATCTCTTTGGAAACAATAGAAGCAAGAAAAGAGTAGAGTGAAATATTCACATGCTGAAAAAAAAATTCCAACTAAGAATAATTTATCCACCAAAATGATCATTCAAAAGTGAAGCAGAAATAAATACTTTCTCAGAAAATCAAAAACTGAGGAAACATTTTTTACTACTAGGTTTAGTAAACGCTACCTGAAAGAAACATTACAAGAAGTTCTTCAGAAAGAAGGAAAATTATATACAAAATTGGAGCTCCATAAAGAGCATCTGAGAAGCAATGAATATCGGTAAAATAAAATTTTGTTTTCTTCTGTTTAATGAGAAATTGTCAAAAGGAATAGATCTAGCTAGTTATGTAATAGATCTGTAAATAGTTATTATTATAGTTATATAAAATAGATCTATAATAATAATTATAGATCTATTATTAATAGATAATAATAATTATTATTATAGATCTATTAGATCTATAAATTATTATTATAGATCTAATAGATGTATAAATAATTATCATTACAGATCAAATAGATCTATAATAGATGTATAATTGTTATCTAATAGATAACTATTTGTTCAAAGTTGTAATGTTATACAAATAAGTAAATAAGTGGCATCAATATTATAAGAGAGGTGCTGCATAGGTAGCTAGTCAGACATGAAGAGGACACGAGAGGGCCACCTCTACCAGCAGGAAAGTCAGGTGACCATCAGATGATGGTCAGGCACTTAACTGTCTCTCTTAAATAACAATTGGCAATAGCCTGTGCCAGAGAAAGGCACCAATAGCTAGAAAAACCTGAAACTGTTGATCAGCTTCCCAATAAGATCTCAGGAGCTGGGCAAGTGGGCTCAAGCATGCATGCTAGGAGGCAAAATGGCAGAGTTTAACTGGTATATGACTTTATAGGAACACTTGACTGGTAAGGGAAGAATGCCTCAAGTGAGCATGCATACAACTGCAGTAAATACACTGCACATGCAGTCCCCTCCAAGTGCTGGCAGGCCACTGGGCATTCGGACAGCCCACCCAAAGGGAAGAATCAGGGGAGAAGAGACCCAAGACCACAGAAGCATGCCAACATATAAAATTCTAAGTCAAAGGTCAAACCACACACTTGATTTCTCAAGTCACATGCTTGGCCCTCTTCCAAGTGTACTTTACTTCTTTTCATTTCTGCTCTAAAGCTTTTTAATAAAATGTCACTCCTGCTCGCAAACGTGCCTGGGTCTCCCCTTCTGCCCTATGCCTCCTAGTCCAATTCTTTCGTCTGAGTGAGCAGCAAGAATTGAGGTTGCTGCATATGTGTACAGATTTGCCACCACTAACAACAGTAGGGAGAAATTAGGACTAACTACTCTGTTAGAAGTTACTTACACTACTCAAAAAAAGTATAGGGTTACTTGAAAATGAATTCAGATAGTTGTAAAATGTACATTTCAAAATCTAGGGCAATCACTAAAACATTTTTTAAGGAAATAAAATTTATTTTACTGAGGGGAGACAAAATTGAAAAATGTAAGATTCTAAATAAAACCAGAAAAATTAGAAAAATGTGAAAACTGAAAAAGACAAAGAAAAATGCACAAAATAAATAGTTACAAATACAGTAGATATAATTTCAGCTATATAAAAAAGCACTTTAAAAAGTGGTTGATAAGCACTTTTTGAGTGGCCTAAACGTACCAATTAAATAACAGTGAATATCAGAGTATATTTAAAAAAAAATCTATGCATTGTCTTCAAAATTTCCCTTTAGATATAAAGAAACAGGCTAATGGTAAAGGAATGGAAACATATATTATGCTAATTCTAAGTGAAAGAAAGCTGGAGTAGCTATATTAATTTCAGACAAAATAAACTTCAGAGCAAATAAATAGACAAGAATAAAGAGAGTCATTACGTAATGTTACAGAGGTTAATTTTCCAAAAGTACAAAACAAAATTTACTGTATATGCCCCTAACAACACAGTGCCAAAATATATGATGCAAAACTGATAGAAGTATAAGAAGAAATAGACAAATTCACTATTACGGATGAAGAATTCAATCATCTCTTTCAGTAATGGCCAGATAAAGCAGGCAGAAAAATTGAAGAATAACACTCATAGAATGTATCTTCACAGACTACAAGGAATTAAACAAGAAGTCAATAACAGAAATAGGGCTGAAAATTTTAAAAACAGAGATTAGACAACATACTTCTAGTAAAACATGGGTCAAAAAAGAAGTTTCAAGAGAAATTAACAAGTATTTTGTACTAAAAGTGAATAAAAATACAAAATTGGTGGGATAAAGTAAAAGCAGTGCTTAGAGAGAAATTTATAGAATAGAATACTATAAATAAAAATCGCAGTTGAAAAATGGGTAAAAGATTACAGTAAACATCTCACTAAATAAGGCAAACTGCAACAAGAATATGCAAAGATACTTGATATCATTTGCAATTAGGGAATTTTGAGCTAAAACAGTAATGAGATGCCACTATAGACTTGGTAGAATGGCTGAGATTCAAAACATTAACAATACCAAATGCTGATGAGAATGTGGAAGAACAGTAACTCTTACTTATTGCTGATAGGAATGTGAAATTGTGCAGCCATTTTGGAAGATAATTTGACTGTTTCTTACAAAGAAGGAAAATAGGTTTACCATATGATGTAGCTCTCCTAGGTATTTATCTAATTGAGTTAAAAACTATGATCACACAAAAACATGCAGAGGAATGTTTAGCTTTATTCATACTCACAATCAAATTGGAAACAACTAGAATGTTTTAAACAGGTGAAAGGATAAACAAACTGTGTTACATCATCCAATGGATTCAGTGATTTAAAAAATGAGCTATCAAGCGATGAAAAGATATGGAGGAAACTCAAATGCATAATGCCAAGATAAGAAAGCTGGTCTGAAAAGGCTACATATTGTGTGATTTCAATTGTATGACATTCTGCAAAAAGCAAAATTATAGAGGCTGTAAAATATCAATGATTGCAGGTGTTCATGGACAGAAGAATGAAAATGTGAAGCATGGGGAGATTTAGGATGATCAAATTCTTCTGTATGATACTGTAATGGTAAATACATGACATTATACATTTTTGAAAATCTAGAATTTTATAAGATAAACTGTAATATTTGCAAATTTTAAAAATCATTCAGGAAGTCAGGGTATCCCAGAAAATAATTCTGGTGGTGACAAAAAAACTCCAACTGTATAATAAATGTATAAAATAATTTTTCTAATTCGGGCAAGGGAAAATTTAATATAAATAATATATAATTAGATGGAGTAGCCTCTCTGTCAAACTCTGAGCAGGCTTGTGGTGTATGTAGTTTAAAGTAGCCCAAATGCAATTTGAGCATGACTTCTGATGGTATGTGGGTGAAGCGTCCTTGTCACTATTCCTCAAACTGCAAACCACTGCACTTCGTGATCTTGAGTCAGAATATTTTAGCTAAAATATATAAAACAGAGTTGAGTTATATTAATCTCTTGTATATTTAAAGAGGTCCTGATAAAGTATCTGCCTCAAAGAGCTCTATGAGGATTAAATGATATTTATAAACAGGTGTTATAAGAAGTTACCAGAATCTTAGTGTTTATTCTGATCATTGTGTGGCAAGACAGCTCTTGGGTTTTCTACCATCTGAAGACTTATTTTATTTTATTTCATTTTTTAAAAATTCTGTTAGGCATGAACGTAGCTACAGGGTCAAATTTTTCCAAAGCCCATGCTTCTTTCTTTTCCCTATCCCATCCCCATTCCCCAGCATTATCCCAAATTTAAAAAGAGAACTATATTCATTGGTAAGAGGGTAGAAATTATATACACAGGAATGAAGGCAAATGAGTGGTTGTAGTTTTTAGGCAGTTGCTAGTTGTGGCTCTCTGGGAGAGTCGTAGTTTACCTGATGAAGATGGATTCAGTCAAGCAGCATTCTCTTAAAAAGACCAGCCACAGGTGTGTGTTTTTGTGAATGTCTCACCAAATTGAAGAATTTCTTTTAATCACAAGTAAATATTAAATACTAATAAGAGACAAAAATTCTAGAAGTATCAGAGACAAAATAAGAAAACTGTGATGTCGATTAATGGTATAATCTACTAATGAATAAAAGGTTAGTCTGAAAGGCTATTGTTAGGTATTTTAATCTTTCTTTGATTAAAAATACGTTGCGAAATATATTGGCTTACGAATTTTTTCTCTGTCAGTAGTTCTTTTGTATAACTTAGTAAAAGCAGCATTGATTCTTTTACATCATTCACTTATAAATTGAACCACCTTAGAATTACAACTTATTTATCTTATGAATTAAATTTAGCGATTAGAATTATAGAATGAAGTCCCGTCAGGTCATGGGTTCCTGTGCTTTCCAAATATTAATACTTAACTATTTTGTAGATTGAAATATAAATATTGTCTACAACTTATAGAGGGCTTAGATATTTTAAAATGTCTTTTTTACTGATTTAGTAATACTTCGATAATAAATGATGCTATCTCATCTCTAAATCTGAAAACTGTGACACCTGTGAAATGATTTGGGCCACTTTTTCCCTTGAGTTTGAAAAATTCTTAGAATCATCACATAGAGATTTTTATTGCTTATGAATAAAATTCTTTTTTAGCTTGTTCCTCATACTTATTTTTTACTTCATTACAGCTGCTTTCTAAAAAAACACTTTAGAATATTCACAAGGCATAAACATAATTGTTAAAACTTGATTTTCTGAATTGAAAATTATTGAAACAAAAAATAAAACAAGATGATAATTGTTTTCCTCCTCAGGCAAAAGCAGTCTGAAAGATAGTCATTGCATTTGGGGCTCTTTAAACTAAAAGAACACACATATTCTTATTTATAAAATGAAACTATATAAAACATCTCACTTCCTGAAACCATTTTTACACTGGATTTAGCCAAACTACAGAAATGTCAAGAATTCATTATATGTTTTTTAAAGGGTCATCTCTTTTGTCCTATTTTGCAACTGTCTAAAATATTATCTCTAAAGGTACGCATTACAAGTAAGACTATTATCTCAGGCCTAAGTTTCAAGTCAAAATGATATTTTTAGCACAATAGTGAAATGTATTTTAACTCAAATTCTTCTATTCCAGGCCAGCTGGCATATGTGAGGGAAAAGCTAAAAACATAAATCTATCATTTGCAATTGGTATAATCACCATCCTTGGCATAGGAAAGTCTTCATTAAACATGTTTATAGAATTATCCTTTCATACACCTTAAATTAATTGCCTTCCATTGAGATTTAAAACTAAATATGGAGAGATTGCCCTGGTCTTTTCATCCCAAGTCATATTTCAAGAAAATATCTTGTTTCTTTATGTCTGGCTGAATTTTAGATCTGTTTTCTGTTCAAAAGAAGTTTCATGATCACTTTTATATATGAAACCATTTTTCACCAGACCACATTAGAATGGAGGGTATAAACATATTTCCATTAAAAGTAATAAACTATACTTTCTTGTTTTCATATATATTCAGTATTAAAGGAATTATACTTTAATTCCAACCCCGATTATACTTTAATTCCAGCCTCCAACAAAGTTTCACATAGGATTTTTTTTTTCTGTTAATACAAAGATATGCTACATCTAACACCAAATGGAGACCTTTTCTTCTTCAACTCCAGTTACCTTTGGGAATATCTATGGAGCCCTTTGCTCCCTGGGAATCTATTTTATTCATCAATTTAATTTAGTCAACAAATATTTATTGAGTACTTACTCTGTGTCAGAACTTTTTATATTATATGTAACACTGAATGAAACAGACAGAAATCCCTGATTTCTTATATTCTAGTGCATCTTATATTATAGTAGAAAATAAACATTTGCAAATAAATAAGTTTTACTTACAAGATAAACACCCACACATAGGCTATTAGCAACTATGAAGAAAAGTAAAGTATAAAATAGGAAAGAGAATCAGTTCGTAGGAAAAAAAAACTACCTTTTTCATCTTTTTGGGGTGTCAAAGGTCGTAATATTGACTTTCTTAATTATTAATTGCATAGTAATGGGGATATAACATTAATTGGTAGTTACCAGGCAGTTGCTCATTGTGTTTCTCTTAAATAGTCATGACTTACCTGGTAAAGATGGATTGTGCCACTAAGTTCTAAATTCCAAAATATGGAAACTTTTTTTCTGTTTTATTCACCACAATATTTCTAGCATACATACAATTATGCTGGCCATATCTTAAATATAGAATTGGCATATAGGTTGAGTGAATGAACTAATGCGAAGGATGAAAACTACAAAAACTGAAATTTTGTCTTGTTCTATAGATTCTTTCTCTATCTATTTTGGTATATCTATCACCAGAAATATTCTGGTGTAGTTATCGCCACAGACTTCATCTGGTAGCACCGTCACCACTATTTTATAAATGAAATTGACTCTTCACAGTACCAAAGCATGATTATATTTTCTGGAATCAATTATTCAGAATAGTATAAAATATTATTGTGGATACAGAGAAATAGCCATGTGAGTTGAGCCCCCAAAACCAGGATGAATCAATTTCTTCACTTTTGATGTTACCAGCTAGAACTGTTGAATTCTAATTAAAGCATAACTTAGAATCAAATCAAAGAATGTGTCAACAATTCTACACGAATCTTTTGCATTTCTATACATCTTGCAAGAAGCACTGATAGCCTGTATCCTGGACTATCTTGTCAAAGATATTTATACTGTGAAGAGCCTTATACTCCCTTGGAAGGGAGAAAAAGTGTCTCTCTCTCGAGCCAAGAGTGTTTCCCCCCTTTTCTTTTATTGTATTGTCAAATATAATGAAGGTAACATCCCCTTCAAAGGCCAAGATCAGTCAGGTTTGCAATTCATTATAAAAGACTCAGGTTCTCTAAGCTTGGCATTTCTCAACTGTGACACCAACCTACTACCTATGAGACATCCACCTACACCTATTTGTGTCACCCCTGTAGGACATGCAGAGTGGTGGGAGCCAAAACAAACATAAAGTTCATACTATTTGCTGTGCAATGAGTAATATGTGACCAGGAGTCTTATGCCTTTTGCCAGCATCCATGAAACTAACTTGTCAACAATGACTTAGGGTAAATGCTCAGATGCTTTACAGTTTTCGGTACCAATATTTCTATTTAGTAAGAATTTAAGCAAATTGCTTCCTCTATATCTAATAGTGATAGAATTAAGTTCCAAAAGCACCAACTAGGGTGGTCAGTCAATTATATGTCATTTTGTTCCAAGGTCTTCAGACAAATTGACTTTCAAAAACAATTTAAGAACTTTCTATGTACTAATTGTTAGCAACAAACATCATTCCATGTAGTAGGTATTCTATAGACAGTCACGTAGCTCAGGCAAGATACAGTCAATTCATTTAATTTATCTTATAGTTCACATTAATTTTAGTTCAGTTACATTATGTTTTACTTCAGTTTAAAAAATTTACTATTGGTTAAAACAATTACCCAAAACAGAATTGTGTCTGCAATATACATATTGTAGTGGATTTTCAAAAAATATCTTTACGATTTGTTAAAGAAATAATTGGGTACAAAATAGGAAGTAATCAACTGGGATATAAATAAAATGTAAAGAAGTTACAGCTGCAGCACAAGGGAAGCAACATTAGTTGGTGATAGCTTTGCAGCACGTATGTTAACTTAGGCCAGAGAGACTAGGCGTGAATATTACACACTCAGAGAATGACAGGACTTGTATTAGTCCATTTTCATGCTGCTGATAAAGACATATGCAAGACTGGGCAATTTACAATAGAAAGAGATTTAATTGGACTTACAGTTCCATGTGTCTGGGGAAGCCTCACAATTATGGTGAAAGGCAAGGAGGGGCAAGTTCCATCTTACATGGATGGCAGCAAGCAGAGAGAATAAGGAAGATGCAAAAGCAGAAACCCCTGATAAAACCATCAGATCTCATGAGACATATTCACTACCAGGAGAACAGTGTGAGGAAAACCGCCCCCATGATTCAGTTATCTCCCACCAGTTCCTTCCCACAATATGTGAGAATTATGGGAGTACAATTCAGGATGAGATTTGGGTGGGGACACAGCCAAACCATATCAGGACTCCTGTCTGTTTTAAACTCAGCCACAAGGACAGGTGGAGTTGCCGCTTAAATATCAGGGACAATGCCAAGGGCTTTATCTCTATTTCTTACAATAATAGTATAAACTAAGTCATAATAGTCATTATGTCTTGGATTCAGAAGAAAGTCTGAGATCTTAGCAAGTCACTTAGATGGAAATCATAGCAATCCCTAGATTATTATCATTTCAATAAAGAGCTTGTTACAGTGCTTATTCATACAGTAAGTGTTGAATCAATGTTACCTACTTATCTATATAATTTCTATATATCAATAACCACCTTTCTCTATATTAATTAGATATAAAATCATAGATGCTTAACTCTGTCCCCATATTGAAGGTGAAGAAAATAAAGCTCAATACCATTAACAAATTCAGCTAGGTCAGTATCAGAACTAAACATTGAACCAAGATTCGTGATTTCATACACCATAGCCAGTCCAGCTGGACAAATAGGATCTGAATTTGGATAGAATAGCAACTGGTAATAATAGGCAAAATTCAGCCAAAGACAACTAGTGAGCATTTTAACAGATGAGTAGGGAACACTGACATAGGACCAATAAGCTTCAAAGATCCAGACAAGTGAATAGTGTCAGTGGGCCCAACAGCAGGCATCAAGATTCCAGTGATGCGACAGGATTTTGAGGGTACATTTTTAAGGTTTTAAGAAATACTGATAAGGACAGGGTAAGATTCAAATCTTAGAGGAAGCAATAAGTGTCCAAAGTAAAGGAGAATATCAAGACAAGAGCTGACAAAAAGTAACTAACTAGTATAAAGCCAACAAAAGAAATGTTGAGGCAAAGATTTCGTTTTAAGAATGATGGACTTGTGTATTCAGGTGGTCAGACAAAGCAGACTTATTTGCAAAGTGACTGGACACTGTAATTGCTTAGCTCCTGAAATTGAAATGTTTTCACTTCACAAAATATAGGGGCAAAGTTAAGACAGATACATTGTAAATTTATGTTTGCCCATGGTATAATTTAAGGAATGCGTGGACTTAAAGTCCAATAAAACCCTATGACTCTTTTATTTACTTGCCAATTTTTAAAACCATTTGAGTCTTAATGGTTTAATATAGATTGATGGAATTTTATTGAGGGAGGAAAATGTACTCATGGAATGTGATTCTAAGATTTGTAATCCAATATCTTATGGGACTCACTGTCTTAGACTTATTCTATTATCGAAAAGTATGAAAATCCGAATTGTTTTTGCCTTCATTGAAGACAATGCTCAAGGCAAATATTTGTTTCTACCCAGCACTTGATTCTAAATCATACTTGGGTTTCTACCTTTGTAAGCTGGGCCAAATTACATATTATTCTTTAGGGCCTTTCTTGAAGTTTTACCTTAGGATGCTAACTAGAGAGAGACAGACACAGTGGTAGCTTTTTGTGTATTTTCCCTGGGATTATACCATAATCCTTTTCTTCTAGACCATACAAATTCTACTGATAAATGATGAATAACAGCATGTAAGATAGAAATAAGTAGAGAATCTCTAAGCCAGCTTAGGAATTTTGGTGTTGTCGTTGGCCTCCACTCGGTTTTTGCTGATCATTCAGGGGAGAGGTGAATGCTTACATTATTAAGAAAATAATAAAATAATAATAATAAAACCTCAGACCTTATTTTTCCATAGAAACCACATAGGAGAAAGGGATACCAAATATATATCTCACAAGACAGAGCCAAGAAAAGAAAGTGTATTCATACTCAATTTTTACTTATAATTCTATTATTAGTCTCACTAGAAGCTCAATTGTATGGACCAGTGACCTCATAAAGTATCCCAAGGACTCTATATAAGAGCCTTTGAATATCAGGACTCTTTAAGAGCATTTTTTCTCCTTACTGGTAGAATGTTGAAAACTTGATGTCCCTGCAGGCTAAAAAATGCTACCAGCAGTGTAAAAGCCAAAGAAAAAGAGCCAGAGACAAATAAGAAACAAGTAATTATAGGCCAACTTTCTACCAAAGATGATTCCCAATCGGTCATAAAGTTGAGTTTTTCTTAGTTATGTCAGTTAATCAAAGCAGTTAAATGTACTTTCTTTCATGACATCAAAACCAACTCATACATGTGGGACCTATGCATTATTTTGCATCTAATTAATATCTATCATTTAGCATTTTGATTTTACTTTTTAATAAATATGGCAAAAAATCTACCTGTAAACATTATAAAGTGCTATTTGTTTGCAAAAAAATATGATCTCCTTGAATAGCAGCTGTTAAAACATGGAAAATTACATTGAGTTCATTTCTGGACACTACCTTAAAAGATCTATGTTCCCATTTGCTAAGATGTAAGGCTTCCCAAAAATTCCTTCTAAGAAATACGCTATAAAAGCATTTTAATACCTAATGATGCCATACCTAATCTTAAGAGTCTTGGCTAGCAGACAGATGAGAAGCTTCAATTCTGCCAAAGAGTGGTTAGGAAGCACATGCTAGGGTCTCATGTCTAGATATTTTTCACTCAGATATTACTCATCATGTCATAGCCAAATAATTCACAGTTTGCCAATCCTCCACACCTTATGCCAGATGAGATAGAGAAAAATCATCTGAAATATTCTACTTGATTAATTTTTAAAGTCTGATCCAAAGTTATTAGACTTTGCAGTTTTCTAGGTTTTTATATTTTATTAAATCTTATTGTATACATCTCATTTTATAGAACAGCAACGTAAAATACAAGGCAGTGTTTCTCATGAATATCTTTGTGTCTCCCTTTCATGGAGATTTGTGTTGTCTTTGAGGTGGATAGAAACTACACAAATTTATATTCTAGTTTTTGCACTTGCAGGTAATCTTTTTTAAGAAATATAACTCTCCTGAGTCTGTTTCATGGTCTTTGATGTAAAAATAATACTATTTCTTAATTCATCAGATTGTTATGAATATATTAGTTAAACATGTAAAGTGCTAAGCACATAAACAGATTCAATAAAATTAGCTATAGAAATTAATATCAGTTAGCTCAATGTTTTCAACATGACATTAGTCTCTCTCCCAGTTTTGCTGGCTTGTTAAAATGTGACCCCAAATTTATCGTTCTCTGTACCTTAATTGTATTCTAAGTATCTGTACTGTTTTTCACCTCAGATCCATTGCCTTTTCAAACAACTTAAAATAGGGGTTAAAAGAAACCATGCTGGGTTTCTTGAAAGATACGTATTCATCCATCTTCTTTCAAAGAATATTTTATAATATTTGTTCATTTCAGTTTCTCAATATGATTTTATAAATGATTTTAAAAAGGACTCTGAACAAATATTTTTAGAAAACATTTGTTTGATTGAACTTTACAATCTTCATAAATAATTTTTTCCATATTCACAGCAAATTAAACATGCAAAATAGTCTCCAAAATTTTACTTCAGATGAAAATTCTAATCTGAGCACAGATATTATGTTCAAAATTCATGATCAAGCCTTAATTTATAAGCATAACCCTAACCAACTTTCTCTCTCCCAGAAAATGTTGGGTCTATCCAATTGCTCAGTTTAGGATAATTCTTACTTCTTCCTCTACCATATCCAAATCATTAGCATTTTCATTGCGATTCCTGCTCTGAATAAGTATACATCTTTCCACTTCTACTGTTTTCATTTATTTCAAGCAAACTTGATCTCTTCTTTAGATCGCTTTATTAGTCTAAATTTGGGTTTTCCTATATTGACTCTGGCTTTCCTCCTATTTATTTGCCACACTACAGAAATAGGACTGTTTTCAAAACATACATTCAATCATGTCATTTAAAAAAAATTTTTTTCATCTGCAACAGATTTATTTTTTAAAGGAATGGATTTTGAGAGAAAACAACGTGGGGCAGAAGTATGGAACAGAAAATAAATACAAACGTAGGCTATTCTACTAATTGTTTTATAACCACAACAAACTAGTACAGAGAATGCCCTGTACAAAACACGACAAAGGTTCAAACGAGGTGTTCCCTTAGGAAGCCTGAAAATTTCAGTCTCTGGTATTTAGAATTTAGGCTTCAGTCCTTGTTTTTGGATGGATCACTGGGTGTGTGGCGCCACGGCTTCGGTAGCGAAGGCAGCTCCAGCCGGGCCTGAGCCGTGCTAGCACCTTCCCCAGGAGACCCTTGCAGTTCTCCGTGGTAACCAAGTGCGACCAAAAGGCCGTGATCAAAAATACGGACATGTCGGAAGAGATGCAACAGGACTCAGTGGAGTGCGCTGCTCAGGCGCTGGAGAAATACAACATAGAGGACACTGCGGCTCATATCAAGAAAGAATTTGACAAGAAGTACAATCCCACCTGGAGTTGCATCATGGGGAGGAACTTCGGTAGTTACCTGACACATGAAACCAAACACTTCATCTACTTCTACCTGGGCCAAGTGGCCATTCTTCTGTTCAAATCTAGTTAAAATCATGTCATTAAAAAAAAAAAATCCATTGCTCCCTTTTCCCATTAAAATGAGCTGCAACATTTTTTATGTTACCTACATTATTTGGACTCTACCTACCTCCCTATTCTCTCTCTCTCTCTTGGTTCCTGTTTTGATCTAAATGTGTCCCCCAAAATTCATATGTTGAAACTTAAATAACAGTGTGATAGTATTAAGAAGTGAGGCATTTAGGAGGTGATTAAGTCATGAAGGCAGAGCTCTCGTGAGATTAGTAATCTTACAAAAGGGCTGAAGGAACTTCTGCTATGTGAGGACACAGAGTTCCTCCCATCCAGAGAATGCAAAAAAAGCCCTCACCAGACACTGAATGCCAACAGTTTAGTCTTGGACTTTCTCTCCAGAACTGTGAGAATTAAATCTTTATTATTTATCAATTACTCAATGTCAGGTATTTTATTATAGCAGGGTAAATTCAGCATGGACAGACTGAGACAGTGCCCCAGTCATAATGACCATGTTTCAGTCCCTAGTGTACGCCATAACCCTGGCTTCTTGCTGCTGCAGTGCATTAACACAGGCTGCCTCCTACACTTGAAATACTTTTCCCTTTTTTATATCTATTTCCTACACAAATTTTAGCTTTAACTTCAAGGGCTAAAGCTTTTACTGATCACACCCACCTGCCATTTAGATCAGACGTCTTTTCTTCCCTTTCATGTGTTGGGGGGTGTTGTGGAGGAGACCTGAGATGTGGAGTGATTAATATATTGCTCAGCTCAGGAGACATTATCACTTTCTTTTTGTGGACAAATGTGACAGGTTACATTTTCTAAAGATGACCTTGACAATATCTCCAGTCCTTCATTATGCTTCTTTTGCCACCCCTCCTACCGAGAGGTGGGGACTGCATCTCCACTTCTTATAGTACAGTGAGGTTGTGACTTCTTCAACCAATGAGTATGGTAGCATTGACACTGACTTCTGAGAGTAGGTTATTGAAAATCATGGAACCTCTACTTGGTTTTCTTGGAACACCTATTCAATGAAGGACCCTCTTAGGATGCCCCCTCAGAACCAAGCCATTGGGCTGTGACAAGCCTCAGCCACATAGAGAAGCCATGTATAAGTGTTCTGTTGACCAGTCCCAGTTGGGTCAGTCTTTAAATGATCTCAACTTAGGTTTTAAACACGTGAGTGCAGACATCATCTTGGAAGTAGATCATACAGCCCCAGGTGTTTTTGTCCCCAGCCATCTGAATCTTCTAAGCAGAGGCCTCAGACATAGTCATTCTGAGGCCCTAACTCATAGATCTATGAGTATGATAAATACTATTTTTTTATTATTATACTTTAAGTTCTAGGGTACATGTGCACAACATGCAGTTTTGTTACATATGTATACCTGTGCCAAGTTGGTTTGCTGCACCCATTAACTCGTCATTTACATTAAGTATTTCTCCTAATGCTATCCCTCCCCAGTCCCCCCACCCCATGACAGGCCCCAGTGTGTGATGTTCCCTGCCTTATGTCCAAATGTTCTCATTGTTCAATTCCCACCTATGAGTGAGAACATGCGGTGTTTGATTTTCTGTCCTTGTGACAGTTTGCTCAGACTGATGATTTTCAGCTTCATCCATGTTCCTACAAAGGACATGAACTCATCCTTTTTTATGGCTGCATAGTATTCCATGGTGTATATGTGCCACACTTTCTTAATCCAGTCTATCACTGATGGACATTAGGGTTGGTTCCAAGTCTTTGCTATTGTTTTATGTTATTAAACTTTGGAAAGATTTGTTTCACAGCAATAATAATAACCAAGACAAAGGTTCATTTGGTTTATCTCATGATTTATTATTTTTACTCTTTGAGCCATAATTGCCACTCTATTTTTCTTTCTCTTTCCAGCTACACAAGTCTGTTTAACATGTGTCTTTGGATAAGTATATATCCATAAGGAACATTAACAGTTTTTTTTTATATGTATCTATTTTCATTAAAATAAATGATCTTATGCGAAAAATTTCTGCCTGACTTTTTCCACTCCAAACTGTTTCACAGTCATTCTAGGGTGGTATATGAATCTCATGTTCTCTGCTTTTGAATGCTTCATGCTACTCCACGGTGTGCACTCATCCTAGTTTTATTATCCAATTGTCTTGGGCTGAATACCTGGGTAAACTATAACTCCTCCCTTCTTAAAATAATACTCTAATATGAACTAACAAATATGTAATAAGGAGTACACAATAAGGAGTGAAATTACTAGTTCAAAGATATATTCACAAAAAAAACAAGCATGCTTAATTTCCCTAAATACTGTTGGACATCTGCAGCTGTCTAAACTTCTAACAACAGTGCACAAAGCACAAGAGTTTTCATTTCATACATATTTGCAAATACTTGGCATTTTTTCTGAGTTCTAATTCCAGTCTTATAGAATCTTGGTATTGTTTCTGTATAAATTAATATGTTAGTAATGTAATAGAGCAACTTTTCAACCTTGCTGTGAACTGCCTGTTTATGCTTTTTGCCCATTTTCACTTGTGTTTTTTAGGTTTCCTTTTGATTTGCAGAGTTTCTTGTAAATTCTTTGTTTTAAGCATTGCAAATATTTTCTCCAAGTTTCTAATACATTTTATTTAAGAAAAAACTTGAATATTTAGGCATTTAAATTTATATTTTATTATTAATATTTTTCTTAGCTTTTATATTTTGCCTTTTATATTCAAGTCTTTATTTCATATCAAATTTACCTTTTATATAAAATGAGGCAATTTTTTTTCACATCAAAAATGAGCCATTTTTGCAATGCCTTCTACTAAATAATCCATCTTTTCTCCCCTAAAGTTTGAGACCTCCTTAAATCTATGCTCAGTGTCTTTGTATACAAGACTGTTAGTGAATCTTTCTGTTCATATATAAGGAATGCACTGTTTCCATCATAATGTTCTCTAACATGGATTACATGGATTAATGTCTAGTAGCATGAGGCCTCTTCTCTGTTTTATCTTTTAAAGATACTATTAGTAAGCAACAGAATTTTACTTCTTTATATAAATTTTTATTCTTTTTTATGTATTTGTTTTAGAGAAAGGGCCTAACTGTGTCACTCGGGCTGGAATGCAGTGGTGTGATCATAGCTCAATGCAACCTCAAACTCCTGGGATCAAGCAATCTTTCTGCTTAAACCTCTCGAGTAGCTAGGACTACAGGCCTACAGGCATCTGCCACCACATCCAGCTGATTTTTTAAAATTTTTGTAGATATAAGGTCCTGTTCTGTTGCCGAGGCTGGTCTCAAACTCCTGGGCTTAAGCAATCCTTTTGTCTCACCCTCCCAAAGTGCTGGGATTATAGGCATGAGCCATTATGCCCAGCCTCTTTTACGTAAATTTTTAAAATAGCCTCCTCATGTTTTTCCAAAACTCTGTTTGAGTTTTATTGGAATTATTTTGCAATTATAGATACATTTACAAAAAATTAAAACCTTTACAATATTAAGTCATCTCATTCAGAAATATGGTATTAGTTTCCATTTATTTAAATCTTGTGCTACAACCTGCTTTATGACAGCCTTCTAAATTACTTACATGTAATTTCTAGATGGTCTGTAGGTTGTATTTATTTATTTATTTATTTATTTATTTATTTATTTATTTTTTGAGATAGAATCTTGCTCTGTCACCAAGGCTGGAATGCAGTGGTGCGATCTTGGCTCACTGCAAGCTCCACCTCCCTGGTTCAGGCCATTCTCCTGCCTCAGCCTCCCGAGTAGCTGGGACTACAGGCCTCCACCACCACGCCTGGCTAACTTTTTCTATTTTTTTATTAGAGACAGGGTTTCACCATGTTAGCCAGGATGGTCTCGATCTCCTGACCTCGTGATCAGCCCACCTCGGCCTCCCAAAGTGCGATTACGGGCGTGAGCCACTGCACCCAGCCAGGTTGTTTTTATTTACTTCCTTGCTTTCTTTTGTTTGATTGTTTTGGAGGAATATTTTGTTTTGCCATCTTGAAAATTAATCTATCTTAGTTTCCTTTCCTTTTAGTTACTGATGGTATACAGGAACACCATTTACTGTTAAGTTGGTATTATGTGAGATAGTTCTTGTTTCTTTTATTGGAACCAGTAGGTAATTTGTTAATAACAGTTATGTTAAGGTAGGACCTAACTTGTTGCGTGTTTTATCATTATCTCCCATTTATAGTACTGGGATTTAAAAACACACCACTAAAGCCAGTAACAAAGAACTTGAAGATGTATTACTCACTCTGGCATAAGCACATTGCTGGCAGAGTGACCACTGCTGGGGGAACTCTGACTTTGGGGCAGGTAGAGCAAACCTAGCCCTGAGTGTCTGTGTAATTTGTGAATAATCCTGTGGTTGGACCCAAATCCAGCCTTTGGCGAGGAGATTGAGGGCACAGGGAGCAGGACTGGCTGCCTGAGGTAAGCACTTATCCAGGTGACTTAGCAGAAGAAGCATAGCTGATGCCCTGGCAAGTGTAATCATTTGGCCAATGTCATCCTGCTGGGGATGACTTATCAATTGCATCCAACTCTATTTTTTCACATTATATCACCTGAAAATAAGGATAGTTTGGACTCTTCACAATTTGTTTTTATATGGTCTTATAAAACCATAATCCATGTTATAGGAACAAAATGGCTGGCTCTGGAGTTAGACTTGCCTACGTTCACCTCCTGGAAGTATCATTAGTAGCCATGTGCTTTTGTTTTGTGTGTCTTAGATTGCTGATATGTAATTTGGGGACAGTCATAATGCCTAATTCATAGGGTTATCTAAAGTGTTAAATGGATTCATATGCATGAATATTTAGAAGAGTCCTCGCAGACACCAGGGCCAAGTTATTTTCTTCAGAGTACTTACGTGAGTTTGTAATTATATCTTTTTAAGTGTGATTGTTAATGTCAATTTATTCCACTAGACTCTCAGCTTTATGAGAGCATCCACTTTATTTAGACTTGCTCACCATCACATTCGTAACATTGAGCACATATTGAACACAGTGGGTACTATTTGCTGAATAAATGAAAAGTAATAAATATAAATGTTTATGTACTATAAATTCTCTCAAAATATTTAATACCTCAATGTGATTTTTTTTAATTCTAAGATAATATTTAGTGCCTTCTGAGTTTATATGACTTTCATTTTGTCTCGTTTCATCAAAGGGCTGCTAGGGATTAATGTCTACTGTACCAGACCTAAGAAAAATCTGGTCTCCATATTTGACATTTTATTCCTAAATTAAGTCAGATTCTTAGAGAACCACATACTCAGATTACAGTATATTGACATTTGTATTAGTCTGTTCTCTCATTGCTGTAAGGAAATACCAGAGACTGGGTAATTTATAAAGAAATTGGCTTACAATTCTGCAGGCTGTACAGGAAGCATAATACTGTCATCTGCTCAGCTTCTGGGGAGGCCTCAGGAAAGCTATAATCATGGCAGAAGGCAAAGGGGGAATGAGCACTTACATGGCCACAGCAGGAGAAAGAGGGGGTGCCACATGCTTATAAACAATCAGATCTCATGAGAACACACTCACTATCACTAGAGAGGAGAGTATCAAAGGAAATGGTGCCAAACCATTCATGAAAAACAACCCCCATTATCCAATCACCTCCTACCAGGCCCCACCTCCAGAATTGGGGATTACGTTTCAACATGAGATTTGGGTGGGGACACAGATCCAAACTATATTAACATCCATATAACTGTTTATTTTAAATTACAGTTCAGTATAATGTCCTAAGCTTATACCAAGAGGCTTTAGAAGGACAGTTCTATGAAATAACATCAACATATTTACTACAAATAAGTGGCTGAATGTGTATCTTGTTAATGGTACAGGATTTTGTTGGTGAGGCTTACTGCAGGAATTTCTGGTCTTGATAAAAGGAGTATCTTCCCTTTTCTGAATAATTATATTGTTTTGGCATGGAGAAACCACATACTTTTCTCACTAATTGCATTTCCTTGATCACAGTAACCACTAGAAAGCTTACAGTCAAGTTTATAGATACCCTCTAATGTGAGTTGAGGATATCTTCAGTACCTATTCTAACTCCTGGTTTCATATTTTTTCACATTCTTTTATTTTTTATTTATTTTAATTTCTTTAACATATTTTACTTCATTCTTTTTCTTAAAAAATTCTTTGTTCTAGACAAGATAAGGTAAACCATAATAAACAAGGAAGCCAATTTACTGTATGGTAATAATAATCGTTTGTAAAAGTCTATATTGCTAAAATAGCATGGAGAGAGCAATAAGAGGAACACAATAAAGAGAAGTAATGAATATTAAATATTTGTTGTTATTTTGGAATGGTAAACTGATTTTTCTTTGAGGAACTATACCTCCCTCTCCTCTTTCAATTATTCCAGAGGTCAAAGCCTTCCATACCCTGGCCAGTGACTAATTGAGCCTGGGATGTGATGTAAGCCAGGCCAACTGGACACAATATTGCAATTTTGGATGAAAACATGCAGGCATTTTATTTCTAATTAAACTCCCTTAGAATAGAAGATAAGAACTAAGAGCTGCTGGTGGTAACTGTACCACTGTGTGAAATTGTCTGCCTGAATGAAATTATATAAGTGGAAGCAGATGCATGGAGCTAGAATCCTTATAGATTATTCGAATTTTTTTTTGTTTTGTTTTGTTTTTCCTTTTTTGAGATGGAGTTTCTCTCATTTCCCAGGCTGGAGTGCAATGGCGCGATCTCTGCTCACTGAAACGTCCGCATCCTGGATTCAAGCAATTCTCCTGCTTCAGCCTCCCTAGTAGCTGGGATTACAGGAGCGTGTCATCACACCTGGCTAACTTTTTGTATTTTTAGTAGAGACGGGGTTTCTGCATGTTGGTCAGGCTGGTTTCAAACTCCCAACCTCAGGTGATCCACCCACCTTGGCCTCCCAAGATGCTAGGATTACAGGCGTGAGCCACCACTCATGGCCTTTATTTGAAGTTTTGAATTCAGCTAGGCTGAAGCATTGTGGACTTGCTGACTACTAACAATATTCCAAATCAAACAGTAATTATATACAGGAGTGGAGTTGCCTCAGCCTGAGTTCTCCAGAAAGAATTGCCTGGGACAAGTATATAAGGACAGGTGGAGTATTTTGCGAATTTATCCCCAGAATTAGGATTGGAGATTGGGAAAAAAGAACCAAGAAAGAGAGAAAATTAACACAAGGGTACATTCCCAAGTTGTTTAAAGCAGGGCAATGTGATCTTGATTTTACAAGGACCTCCTAAAGAACACTAAGGTGTATATATATATGCTCAGAATCGTCTGTCCAAAGGACGAAAAAGGGGAATATTCATCCACCAGCTCTTATCTCCATCAATCCAGATGTTTCTCCAGAATGTGTTAACTCCCTTATATTTCTAGATTTCCCAAGCTTAGTTGCAAGATGGATTTTACCGAAGTGACTCATGCCAAAAAGTGGAGACATGAGGTGTGTTACATATGAGGTGTGTTACATATGAGGTACTATTATCTTATACCTTCACAAATTATTTGCTAAAACGATAGCTGGACTAAAAGTGGAGAGTATATGAAACATGGCGAAAGAGGTGGAACAGTGTAAAGTTGAAACTTTACAATGTAGAATTGACTGAAGAAAAATGTGGGTCTTTCTTCCTTAGCTAGGAAAGTGACTGTCTTTGTATGGATGTAAAACAGTTGTTTGAAATGCATCCTATTTACCTTAGGATTTAAACTGTAAATTACAAAGTCAAGAAACAGAAAAATATGTGTGTTGTGTAAGTTTATTTCTGTGACCCTCACTAAAGTCATATTTCCATTGTATTTAAAACAGGACTACATAGAAGCATAAAAGAAGGCAAAACACCACTTTGTCAAGAAAAGCTCTTTTTTTCCTGAGAACAGAAGTCTAAACTGAGTAAGAGTTAAATAATTTTGAGCTTCACATGTTTCAACTAGTTGTGTTTTCTGCTTTAAGCTAAAGTTTGTTCAGCAGAAGAATAAAGGATAGAAACAAAGCTGAAAGTAATATGACAACTTGAGAGATAATCCCTGCCTTCAGATCCCTTCTCCAGACATCTGTCTGCCATACCCTTTCATCTAGGCAGAGGTAGTAATTGCTCCCACTGTATGCAGTATCCACTAGAACCACAGTCTTTGTATAAGGGCTGATTATTTCTACACCTTTATCTCTGGTTAGTAATTCAAAATCTGTTGAGAAAGGTGCCTAAGCTGTTATCTGCAGTTAAGGGAGATACAAAGATTTTTCTATGGAAATCCCAGTGCCAGAACCTTGAATGATGTATGGTTCTTCATTGATTTTGAACTCTGCCTACTAGTGTTTGGGATTTGATACCCAGCTAATATTTTAAGGGATGCATTTTCTTTTTCTCAGAAATCCTAAAGGAGGCTATTAGACCTGGAATAGCTTCACCCATTCCCCAGTCTCTGGGTTCACAAACTCACACTCTTGAATGAAATAATGAGCATTTTACATATCTAGATCCCATTTAAAAAAAATTTAAAAATCCTCCAGTCCTGGTGGCACACACCTATAATCCTATCTACTGGGGAGGATAAGGCAGGAGGATCGCTTGAGCCCAGGAATTCGTGGCTGCAGTGAGCTAGGAGGACACCATTGCACTCCAGCCTGAGCAATAGAGGAACCCTCTGTCAAAAAAAAAAAAAAAAAAAGTAAGCATTTTTCAGAAACAGAGTTCCTCCTCAGTAAACCCTTTCAGACGTGACCCTATCGTGTAAATAACAGGAGATCTTCATAGAAAGCAGAATGAGATCAGCTGAGCATAGAACTCACACTACTACCAGAAAAGGAAATCTGGATGTTATTACTTCGTTGAATATTGTATGATGCTTAGACTCGTGCTCATTAAGTGCTGTTTCTCTTCTTTCTTTTACCAAATTGGGAGATTTGATTGCAAGCTGATCCATTTTATCAAAAGCAACAGCAGTGTTCAATAGACTTGTCCGCCAGATATTCTTCGTAGTTCTACTCTGTTATCTCGATATACTTGGCTTCCCAGAGTTACCCTACAAGACTTATCTCATAAAGCAGTGTTTAAATTTCTGAAAACCAAATCCAAAGTCTAATTCTGTGGGTAGCTAAATTTCAATGTAAATTGAATTTGCAATATTGCACTTTCATCTTAAAGTTATATCATTTATTAGGAGAAGTGAAACTTTAAAATTTAGTATGATGAAATGTGTACAGATTTCAATGATGCTGTCTATCTTAGATCCCTAAATGCTGTTGAGCTTCATCAGTAAAAGCAAATCACTATCTCCTTGCCCTAAAAAAACCTATAATGGCATCTATTAATGTGGTTGCTTTTCAGGAGAAGGGTGATCCTCCTAAAGGCCTATCACTATCCCATCACATTTCTCCCAAACATATAACAATATTCAAGTCCCTGAAAGCTCT
The DNA here is from genome assembly GCF_000001405.40 of Homo sapiens. NCBI lineage: Eukaryota > Metazoa > Chordata > Mammalia > Primates > Hominidae > Homo > Homo sapiens. Next base: position 85,371,664 of record NC_000007.14, on the reverse strand, counting down.
AGGATTTAAGGTACCAAATGGGATCTGTGAGGAGATACCATATACAGGAAAAAAGGCAAGATTTTCCCAAATTTTCCTGAAGTAGAATGGCCTTTGGAAGACTTGGAAATGGCGGCCACTGGATAACAATTCGTTGCTATTGCGAGACGGAGTAAAGTTCTTTAGAACATGGTGTATCTTCTGGATCAGTAATCAATATATGGGGCTGTTTCTCCCATATCCAGGAGTCCCTGACCTGGGAATCAAGGGGTGAATATGACAGTAGTCTCTATCACATCACTTTTACCCCTTATTATGTACTACAAATGTTTGTTTCTTTTTCCTGCAACACTGTGCTTTTCTGGTATAGAGGTTTTTGTTCCTGAGGGTGGAAAGCTAGAATTAGGATACCCAGCAGTGGTTACAATATGTTATAAATTGAGTCTGCCACCTGGCCACTTGGGCTTCTTATGCCAGTGTACTAATGGGAAGGAAGGTAACTGTACAGATTGGAGAATCGATTCTATCAGGAAAAAATCATGTTGATAGGACTGGATAAGGAGGGGTGAAACTAGAATGCAGAAGATCCCCCGAGATATCTTTTAGTTATTTCATATTCTGAAGTAAATTTAATTTAAAAAGTACAACAGCGAATACAGCCAAAATTGCTATTGGGACAGATTCTTTAGAAATGAAGGCTTGGGTCACCACCAAGAAATCAGTTAGTTGAAGCTCTTGCTAAGGGCAAAGGGAATATGGATTGTAGGTAAAGGAAAAAGGAAAATACAAATTGCAACTATGACCATGTGACCACATGTAGAAATGAAGACTGAAGTAGTTATGAGTATTTATTCTTTACATTGACATATATATGTTTGTGTTCTGGTAATTTTGTTGTATTTCTTTCTGTTTCTTATATTCTTAATATTTAAGGTAAGATGTTATAATTATATCACATTAATATAATGATGGAAGTCATAGCTCTGTGCATAAGTTATAGGATATCAGGGAGGAGCAGTGCTTGGCTAGAAAAGTACTGAACATTACCCAAATATATAGAGACACTGTGGTATGTGAACTTTATATCTTCTTTTGAAAAGACATATTGTTTTAATTTGTATGAGAGACAGTTTTATCAGGTTAGGCTAAAACAAGATTTTGCTATTGTCATTATATGAAAGTAAAATATGCTTTAAACCTATGTATATAGCTCTCAGGTTGAAAACTGATGGACTGTGATAATTTTATTTCATGTCAATGTGGCTAAGCTGTAACTACAATTCCTAGAATATATTACCCTTTATACTTCTGTTGGGTTAGAGTTGCCCAAAAAGGAAATATTCACACGTTTAAGAAGGCAGAATTGAAGTAGACACAAGATGCCAGTGGGTTTCAGCTTTTCCTTCCTCTTCCTTTCCCTGCTTGAAGCTTTGCTTTGCAAATACCAGTTCTTCAAGCCAAGTCCACCACCATATGCAGAGAGAATAGCCTTCCATAGATTTCTGCTTTAGCTGTTCTTTGCAGTCTTACGATATCAGCTGGAATGACCAGGCTTCCTCACAATTTCCCTGCAAACTCTAAATTATCCATTCATACCAATGCTTTCAGCAGGCTGGTTAGCAGCTCTTCCCTGAACTCTTAACTTCCTTTAGAACTTGCTTTCAGCTCCTCCTGCAATTGTATAAGCAATACATTTCTTATTGTACAATATTTAAAGAGATTCGACTTTCTTGATTGAGCCATGGTAGATTAATAGTTGATTTTAAAACACTTGATTATTATTGCTGTTTTTATATAATTTTCCTGCCTTGGTTTCCAAGTTACCACGTCCTTTTCATTTTCCTCTTGCTTATCTGTGTCTCCTCTGCTCTTTCTCTTTTTTTCCTTGACCCTTTAATATTAGAATATTCTAGTGCTCAATCTTGGTCCTTGATACTGTTTGGATTTTTGTTCTCTTCAAATCTCATGTTGAAATGTAATCCCCAATGTTGGAGGTGAGGCCTGCTATGAGGTGTTTGGGACATGGGGGTAGATTCCTCATTAATGGCTTGTTGCTATCTCTGTAATAATGAATGAGTTCTCACTCTATGAGTTTACATGAGATCTGGTTGTTTAAAAGAATCTGGTACTTCCACCTCCCTGTCTTGCTCCTGCTCTCACCGTGTATATGCCAGCACCCCCTTTGCCTTCTGCCATGACTGTAAGCTTCCTGAGTCCTCACCAGAAATTCAGAAGATGATGGCACCTTGCTTTTACAGCCTGCAGAACCACGAGCCAAATATATATATTTGTTTATAAATTACCCAGTCTTAGACATTCCTTTATAGTGATGCAAAATAGACTAACATAGTCCTCTTCTCAATCTGTGATTAATCCTTTGGTGAATTTATGTAGCCTTGCAGTTTACAATATTTGAGTAGCTGTCTTTTATACCAATATCCTATCCATCTGAAAATATTCTGGACTTTACCTTTAAAGTATATTCAAAAAAGCAGAGAAGGAAGGTGTCCAACTAGATGCAGCTGGGGGAACATCTGCCACTGACGGAATGGGACACAAGGAAGACTGACAAACTCTGAGCACATCTTTGGAAGGAAGACATTGAGAGTGGATGGAAGGAGGAAACAGATTCTGGTCTGAAAGAGGAAGAAGCTGGGATCCCTGCATGGGGCTGTGTCACACTGGAATACATTCTTGGCCTCCGGTAACTCCTGGGGAAGGGGTGAGTTGAGCAGGCAAGGATTGGCCTGCTCTCACCATGGATCCCTGGAATCCTGCAGCAGGAGACCTCACAGTCACCATGGACATAATTATTTTAAAGTTCAGGAAACTTCAATAAAATAGAGGGAAACAATTCAATGAAATCAAGAAAGTACTAAAATATGAAACTTGGAAATTTAACAGATAAATTAAATTAAAATAAAACTCCAAAAACAATTCTAGAGCTGAAAAAAACTCCACAATTAAAATTAAAAATGCAGGAGAATATCAACATCAAAATTGATCAAGCAGAAGGAAAGACCTGTGAACTTGAAAACAGGTTATTTAAAAATACAGTCAGAGGACAAAAGATAAAAAAGAATAAAAGGGACTAAAGAAAGCTTACTGGATTTATAAGACAGCATTAAAAGAGCAAATATTCAAGTTATCATTGTTTATACGAAGAAACAAATGCTTGAGTTATAGGGTTGTGTGAAGAAGAGAAACAAATTATTAGAAAGGTTATTTAAAGAAATAACAGCAGAAACCTTTCCAAATTTGGAGAAAGATATACATATCCAAATACAAAAAGCTTAAAAGTCTGAAATCAGATTCAATTGGAACAAGATTACGCCAAGATATAACAAAACTGTCAAAAATTAAAGACAAACAAAGGATCTTGAAAACATTCAGAGAAAAGAAGCAAATTAAATATAAGGGAGTTCTAATAAGACTAGCAGCAGATTTCTCAGAAGCAATTTTTACAGGCAAAAAGAAAATGGGATAATATATTGAAAGTGCTAAAGAGAAAAAAATAACTGTTAACTAAGAATATTGTATCTACAAACTCTTCTTCAGAAATTAAGAAGCGATAAGACATTTCCCAGACAAAAACTGAGGGATTTCATTATTAGCATATTACAAAAAAATGAGAAAGGAAGTTCTTCAAACTGAAAGAGAAGATGCTAAATAGTAACACAAAAACATGAAAGTATGAAACTCACTGGAAAAAGTAATCACACACTCTAATACTGTAATGATATTACATAAATCACGTATCTCTTTAGTATGAAGGTTAAAAGATAAAATTATTAAAAATAATAGGTACAATAATTTGGCAAGTGACATACAATATAGAAACATTTAAGTTGTGAAATCAAAAAGTTAAAATATCAGAACTGATGCTGGAGTAAAAATGTAGTTTTTAAATGAAATCAGTATAAATTCAGTTTAACATAGCTTTTTATAACTATTAGTTGTTTTTTGTAAGCCTCATCATAACCACAAAGCATAAACCTATAGTAAATACACAAAAGATAAAAATAAAGGAATCAAAACATTTCACTAGAGAAAATTACTTAGCCACATAGTAAGACAACAAAAGAGAAAGACTGAAACAAAGGATGTACAAAAAAGCCAGGAAACAATTTTTTTAAATGGCAGTAGTAATTACTTACCTACCAATAATCACCTTATTTGTAAATGGATTAAATTATTCAATCTAAAGGCATAGAGTGCTGACTAGATGGAAAAACAAGACCCAACTTTATGCTGTCTACAGGAGACTTGTTTTACCTGTAAGGACACACATACACTAAAAATCAAGGGATGAAAAAAAGATATTCTAAGCAAATGGAAACCAAAAGAGAGCAGTAACTACACTTCTATGAGATAAAATAAGCTTTAGGTCCAGCTAAATATACTGAAAAAGGGGTCTATTCTGGAAGAAGATACAACAATTATAAATATACACCCAACATTGGAGCACCTAAATATATAAAGCAAATACTAATAAAAGGAGAATTGGACTGTAATGCAATAATAGTAAATGACTTCAAGGCTTTACTCTTAACAATGAAGAGATTCTCCAGGGAGAAAATCGTTATAAAAACATCAAATGTGAGCTACACTTTAGACCAAATGAATCTAACAGACATATACAGAGCTGTCCATCCAGCTACAGAATACATATTCCTCTCAACTGCAGGTGAACTGTTCTCCAGGATAGATGATATGCTAGTCCACAAAACAAATCTTAAAAAAAATTAAGAAGATTGAAATTATATCAAGTATCTTTTCTGACCACAAAGGTGTAAAACTAGAAATCAATAATGGAAGCAATTTCAGAAAGTTAAAAAGTACTTGGAAGTTAAACAACATGTTTCTGGAAAAACAATGAGTCAAAGAAGCAATTAAAAAATTAATATATATATTGAGACAAATGACAATGGAAACACAATATACCACAACTTATGAGATGCAGCAAGGGCAGTTCTAACAAAAAAATTTATAGTAATAAATACTTATATCCCAAAAGAAGAAAGACTCCAAATAAACAATCTTTAGTACACTTAAAGTAGAAAAACAAGAATATACTAAGCTCAAAATTAGTAAAGAAAATAATAAAGATCATGACAGAAATAAATAAGAGAGAAAAAATAATATAAAGGATCAACAAAACTCAGAGTTTTTTTTATTTTTGAAAAGAACAAAATCAGCAAACCTGTGGCTAGACTAACTACTAAAAAAAAGAAGACTCAAATAAAATTATAAATAAAAGAGAAGATATTACAACAATTCACATAGAAATACAGACAATTATAAGAGACTACCATGAGCAACTATACACCAAAAATTGGATAACCTAGAAGAAATGAATAATTTCCTAGACACATGCAACTACCAAGATTGAATTATAAATAAATAGAAAATTTGAACAGACAAACTATTAGTTAGGAGATGGAATTAGTAATAAAACACCTTCTATCAAATAAAAGCTCAGAACCTATGACTTCACTGCTTTATTATACCAAACATTTCAAAAAAGACTAACATCAATTTTTCTCAATCTCTTGCAAAAAATTGAAGAACAGAGAATACTTCTAAATTCATTTTAATATGCCAGCATTACCCTGATACCAAAGCCAGAAAAAGACATTACAGGAAAAAAAATACAGGCCAATATCTCTGATGAACATAGATGCAAAAATCCTCATCAGAATATTAGCAAATTTAATTGAACAGAATATCAAAAGAATCATTAACCACAATAAAGTAGGATTGATCTCAGAAATATATGAATGGTTCAACATATGCAAATCTATAAATGTGATATGCCACATTAACAAATTTTAGGACAGAAAACCATATGATTATCTCTATAGATTCAGAAAAATAATTGATTAAATCCTGTGTCTTTTCATGATAAAACCTCTCCATAAATTAGATATAGAAAGACAATACCTCAACACAATTAGAGCTATATATGACAAACCCACAGCTAACATCATACTTAAGGGTGAAAATTTAAAAGCTTTTCCTCTGTTATTAGAAAGAAGACAAGGATGCCCATTCTCACCACTTCTATTCAGTGTAGCATGGGAAGTTGTAGCCAGAATATTTAGGCAAAATAAAGAAATAAAAGGTATGCAAATTAGAAAGGAAGAAGTTAAATTGTCCCTATTTGCACATAATATGATCTTATATATAGAAAACCTTAAAAACTGACAAAAGAGATAAAACTAATAAACAAATGTAGTAAAGTTACAATATATAAAATCAACATACAAAAATCAGTAGCATTTCTATATACTAACAACAAACTATCTGAAATAGAAGTAAAGAAAACAGTTCTATTTACAATAGTTATCAAAGGAAATTCTTAGGAAAAAATAATCAAGGAGGTGAAAAACTTCTACACTGGAAACTATAAAACATTGATGAAAGAAACTGAAGAAGGCAAATAAATGAAAAGATATTCTATGTTCACAAATTGTGAGAAATCATGTTATTAAAATATCTCTGTTACTCAAAGTGATCTACAGGTTCAATGCAATACTTATCAAAATACTGATAACATTTTCCATATGAATAAAAAATAAAATTTGTAAACAGTCACAAATGACCCTGAATATCTAAAGCAATCAGGAACAAAAAAGACAAAACTGGAAGCAAAGCATTCCCTAACTTCAAAATATAATACAAAGATATAGTAATCAAAACAGCATAGTACTGGTATAAAATCAGCACACAGACTGATGAAACAGAATAGAGAGCCCAGAAATAAGTCCATGCTTTTATGGTAAATTGATTTTCAGGAAAGGTGCCAAGACCTTACAATGGGGAAAAAACTGTCTGTTCAATAAAGGGTGCTGGAACAACTGAATATCCACATACAGAAAAATGAAAGTAGACCCTCATCATATACCATATATGCATGTCAATCAAATTAAAATAGATTAAATACATAAATGTAAATCCTGAAATTGTAAAACTACTGGAAGAGAATATAGGGACAAAACTCAATAACATTTGTTTGGGTGATAATTTTTTGGATATGAACTCAAAAGCATAGGAAACAAAATCAAAAAGAGATACATGGGATTTTGTTAAATTAAAAAGCTTCTGCACAGCCAAGGAAAACATCAATATAAGCAGACAACCTACAGAATGGGAAAAAAATATCTGTAAATCATGTATGTGCTAAAGGGGATTAATATCCAAAATATACAAGAAACTCAAATAATTCAACAGTAAGACAACAACCCAATTAAACATTGGTCAAAAAATCTGAATAGATATTTCTTAAAATTTACAAATGGTCAACAGCAATCTGAAAAAAAAATGCTCAATATAACTAATAATCAGAGAAATGCAAATCAAATCCACAATGAGTTAGCACTATACTAATGTTAGAATGGTTATTATCAAAAAGACAAAAGATAACAAGTGTTAGTGAGACATGGAGAAAAGGGAACACTGAACCCAGTTGGTGAGAGTGTAAATTAGTATAGCCATTATGAAAAACAGAATTGAGGTTCCTCCAAAAATCAAAAACAGAACTACCACATGATCCAACAATCCCACCACTAGGCATATTTCCAAAAGAAATGAAATCAGCATATCAAAGAGATATCTGCACTTCCATGTTCATTGCAGCATTATTCACAATAGCAAAGATTGGAACCAACCAAAGTGTCTGTCAAAGAATAAATGGATAAAGAATATGCGTTATATACACGATGGAATACTATTCAGCCTCTAAAAAGGAAATCATGTCATTTTTGACATAGATAAACTTTGAGGACATTATGTTTAGTGAACCACACTAGGCAGGGCAAGATAAATTCTACAGGATGTCACTTAAATGTGAAATTGAAAAATGTTGCCCTCATAAAAGTGGAGGATAGAAAGATGGTTATCAGAGGATGAGGGTGGGGGGAAAAAGGGTTAAGAGATGTTGGTTAAGGAAACAAAATTTCAGTCAGATAGGAGAAATAAGTTCAAGCTATCTATTGTACAACATGATGACTGTAGGTAATAACAAAATATTATATACTTGAAAATTGCTAAGAGGGTAGATTTTATGTGTTCTCACCACAAAAACATTTTAAGTATGTGAACTACTACATATGTTAATTAGATGAATGTAGTCATTCCACAATGTATACATATTTTGAAACAACATGTTATACACATTTATTATGTACAATTGTATTTGTAAAATAAATAAACATACAAAAGAAATTTTGGCAAAACATGACCACATTGTGCAAAATGCTTAGGCAAATACTGTAAGAATATTTTAAGTATCATTTTTACATTAATCACAATATATTTTCTTTATAAAAATTACATGCTTATAGAAGAGCAATGACAAGCAAAATTTGAATCTTACGTGCTTGTTAAAGAAGAAAAGAAAATCTACAATAGCATTGAATGATGAGAAAGTATTAACTTGCTTTCATCCGTATTACAGTTAAGTCAAAATAAGAGATAATTTTAGAAATTATTTTGGAAACTTAAACAAAAGTTTGTTCAGTATTTTCTATTTAATAAGTGCCAGCTATGTTTAAATTTAAGCAAACCAAGACCAAAGGAGAGAGCCGATCCAAGAAATCTATTCCAGAAACAACAACAACAACAACAACAACAACAACGACAACAACAAAAGAAGCAAGATTAGCTGGAATTGAATTTGCTGCCAGAGAGAAAAGAAAAAAAAATGCAAAAACCACATCCCAGAAAACATTTCCAAATGTGATTGACAGTGCAGTCTAGTGGTTTATGTAGCAATGTAGTGAGAAAGTCCATCAGGAAATCAGAAAAACAGACGTGACCATGAGCCAGTGACCAGGAAGACAAGAAGATAGCTCTAGAACAACCAGCCTCACCATAATGTTTTCAAGACATTTGAAAAGATCTGCCTTTTCCACAGGACAAGGCTGTAATGATATGTAGAGTTTACTCTGTGGTTCCAGATGTTTTTCTTCCTTATAAAGATACCATTCATCTCCTTACTCTTTCATATAAACAACAAACAGCTATTTAATCTAAAAGTAGATACTGGAGAATAAGTACTAACAATTTATAACTGATTTAAAAAACTAAATTTTGCTCACAGAGAAGTAAATTTACTTCAGGGATGTATTTTATGAAAACACTTCTAATACAGATTCTAAAAGAATGTAAAACTTGACAATTCAGATCTTAATCTGATTAATGTTTTTTGTTTTATTTTTTAATTAAAAGCAACCATATTCACTAATCTTCAGATAATATTTATAGCATTATTAACTTCATTATTCATCTGGGTAGTTTAAACTATGTCCATTTGTATAGTTCATAGAGGCTCACATAATTAGTTTTATTTAGAAGGCTTCCATTAACAGGGATTTGAGATGAACACATGTATAACCCAGAAACAAGGATGAATGGCATGAAACCTTGTCAAGAGAAGCATGCACCAAAGTTATAGTGTGACCAAAGTTGTGTGCATAACCATTGATTTGATTTTGTGATATATTCCAAGCCTAGTCACAAAACAATATAGATGGTAATAACAAGACAAGAAATATTTATTCTCTAATATACATGCAAGTACTGATCTAATAATATATAAATGTTCTCTCTTCAAAATTGTAATCACTTTCACATCATGGACCACATGAAGAGTATTCTATAATGCCAAGTAAGGATGACATGTAGTGATGAATAATTAAAACTTAATCAGCAAAAATTATCATTGTATGTTAGGAAATGAATTAGTTTGTTCTCATGCTGCTATGAAGAAATACCTGAGACGGGATAATTTATGAAGGAAAAAAGGATTAATTGATTCACAGTTCCATATGGCTGGGGAGACCTCAGGAAACTTACAATAATGGTGGAAGGCACCTCTTCACAGGCTGGCAGGAAAGACAATGAGAGCAAAGGGGGAAGCCGCTTATAAAACCATCAGCTCTCTTGAGAACACACTCCTGGAGAAGAACAGCATGGGAGTAACTGCCCCCATGATTCAATTACCTCCCACCAGCTCTGTCCCATAACACATGGGGATTATGGGAATTACATTTCAAGATGAAATTTGGGTGGGGACACAGCCAAACAAGATCATTCCACCCCTGGCCCCTCCAAACATCATGTCCTCACCGTCCTCACATTTCAAAACACAATCCCACCCTTCCAACAGTCCACTGGAGTCTTAACTCATGCCAGTGTTAACTCAAAAATCCAAGTCCAAAGTCTCATCAAGGCAAGTCCCTTTCACCTATGAGCCTGTAAAATCAAAAGCAAATTCCTAGATACAATGGGGGTACAGGTATTGGGTAAATATACCCATTCTAAATGGGAAAAAATTGGCCAAAATTAAGAGGCTACAGGCCCCCATGTAAGTCTGAAGTCCAGTGGGGCATTCAAATCTCAAAGTTCCAAAATGATCACCTTTGACTCCTTATCTCACATCCAAGTCACACTGACACAAGAGTTGGGTTCCCATAGTCTTGGGCATCTCCACTTCTGTAGCTTTGCAGGGTACATCCCCCTTCCTGGCTACTTTCACAAGCTGGTGTTGAGTGGCTTTGGCTTTTCCAGATGCACAATGCGAGCTCTCAGTGGATCAAGAATTCTGGGGTATAAAGGACAGTGGCCCTCTTCTCACAGCTCCAATAGGCAGTGCCTTAGTGAGGACTCTCTGTGGGGGCTCCAACCCCACATTTCCCTTCTGTACTGTCCTAGTAAAGGATCTCCATGAGGACTGCATATATGCAGCATACTTCCGCCTGGATATCCAGGCATTTCCATATATCCTCTGAATCTAGGAGGAGACTCCCAAACCTCAGTTCTTGACTTCTGTACACCCACAGGCCCAACACCATGAGTAAGCTGATAAGGCTTGGGGCTTGCACCCTCTGAAGCAATGGCCTGAGCTGTACATTGGCCCCTTTTAGCCACAGCTGGGAAGCAGGGTTCCAAGTCCCAAGACTGCTGGCTCACAAAACCATTTTTCCCCCTAGGCCTCCAGGCTTGTGATGGGAGAGGCTGCTGTGAGTACCTCTGACATGCCCTGGAGACATTTTCCCCACTGTATTGGCAATTAACACTTGGCTCCTCATTATTTATGCAAATTTTTGCAGCTGGCTTATCTTTCTCCTCAGAAAATGGATTTTTCTTTGCTATTGTATCATCAGACTGCAAATTTTCTGAAATTTTATGCTCTGCTTCCCTTTTAAATATAAGTTGCAATTCCAAAGCATGTATTTGTGAATGAATAAAATTGAATGTTTTTACAAGCACCAAAGTCAAACTTTGCTTCTTAGAAATTTCTTCTGCCAGATACCCTAAATCATGTTTCTCAAGTTCAAAATTCCACAGATCTCTAGGGAAGGGGTGAAATGCCACCAGTTGCTTTGCTAAAGCATAGCAGGAGTCACCTGTGCTCCAGTCCCAAATAAGTTTCTCATGTCCATCTAAGCATCTCAGCCTGGACTTCATCGTCCATATCAGCATTTTGGTCAAAACCATTCAACACATCTCTAGGAAGGTCCAAATTTTCACATATTTGCCTGTCTTCTTCTGAGTCCTCTGAACTGTTCCAACCTCTGCTTGTTATCCAGTTCCAAAGTCACTTCCACATTTTGGGGTATCTTTATAGCAATACCTCACTCTACTAGTACCAGTTTACTGTATTAGTCCATTCTCACACTGGTATAAAGAAATACCTGACAGTTGGTAATTGATAAAGGAAATAAGTTTAATCAACTCACAGCTCTGCATGGCTTGGGAGGCCTCAGGAAACTTACTGCAAAAGACACCTCTTCATACGGTGTCAGGAGAGAGAATGAGAGTGAAGTGAAGGGGGAAGCCCCTTATAAAACCATCAGACCTCTTGAGATCTCACTCACTCACATGAGAACAGTAGCATGAGGGTAACCGACCCCAAGATTCAATTGTCTTCCTCTGAGTCCCTCCCATGACACATGGGGATTATGGGAACTACAATTCAAGAATTGATTTGGGTAGGGACACAGCCAAATCATATCAGGTAAGTAATATATATATATAATCCATATACAAATTAATGTTGTTATGAAATCATATACACATATGGAAACCACATCCAAATATTTTCAAGAATATTTCCCCATGTATAAGAAATTATCCTTCAAGAAACTGGAGAAGGGATAGATACATAGATAGATGATAGATAGATAGATAGATAGATAGATAGATAATCTCTTCAATGAGCCCTATCCCCTATCTACTAACAAAGAAATGACAAAGAACAGAGATACTTCAATAACATTTGACCAGATGCATAAATATACGTTGTGAAAGACATTCAGGTACTCATGTGAAACCAACAGGACATTTGCCAGTATGAAAATTCTTAACTATGCTAGAATTAACTCTCGTTTGGACCAAATAATGTACTGTTAGTAAGCATATTATATTTAAGAAAGTGTCATCAGTTGATAAAGACATTTGTCTTCTTTCTTTTAATAAATTTTGTTTTGCAGTTTACAGAAGAAACTATGTTTTAGTATCAAAGAGGAAAACCAGCTGATCTGAATGTATCCCATGTAAGTGATTTATCAATCCCACTTATCAAATATAAGTGATTTGTTTGAATAAATCTATGGCAGAACTATAATTATAACCCTCTTCTTGAAGCAATGATCTTCCTTGCCCCATTGCACATTTCCCTGAGCCTTGCATAGCTTGAAATGGAGAAGACATTTATTTACTTATTTGGATGTGTGAATATGATTTTGAGAAAAGCAACAGATTCAGAATTTCAATTTTTTTCTGTCTCTGTCTTCAATCCTTTATAAGTCCTCAGTTTTTAGTTTATTGTTAAATAAAACATAATTATCTGATAAATCTTTGTAATGTGGTCTGATTTTTCTTGTAGCAAATCTAGCAACCTGACCCAAACTAGCACATTTTCTGGCTTCCTCTCATTAAAAGAAATTACAATAAATTGAGCCAGACTTTATGTCCTTGGGCAGATTTTTGTAAGCACTAAAGTTTTGGTTTGCTAGATAAGGAAAAGAATAAAACTCCCTTGGCATTTTTACAGGTTTAAAGCCATAAGGCAAGATGTTCATTTTGTTAAAGAAGAAATACATAACTTTTTTATCTGTCTTCATGTCTATTTTTACCTTACAACCATCAATCTGATAATAGGTCAACTATAGGTGTCTAATTTCTAAGGTAGTGATGTGCAGACATTGCAGATAGCTGGTACCTAGCCGGTAGGAGGAGCAATGCCTACCATTACCTAAATCTGTAACTTAATCCTATTAAGTGATATTTTGCTTCTGTGCTATAATGCTGTGGAAAGGCTAGAAAAGGACAATGTACATCAATTCAAAAATCAAAAGTCACCAAATCAATCTTAAAAATTCAAAAGGAACTAGACTGTCAAGTGGGAATGCTAGAACTGGGGAAACACTACCAGCTTTCTTAGAGTATGGAAGATCAAATACAGAGATTCACTTCAAAAATATTAATGCTATTATGAAGAAGGATAATGACTAATTCTTCTCTAAATCTAAATACTTCAGAATAATTTAAGTTACTTTATTATAACTCCCTGTACACAAGACAACTTTGAATTTCCAACTGAGAGATTAGGGATCCCCTTCTTTGGCAGTCACTTGAAGTACAGTCATCAATTGGATAGGAGTATTTAAGTGCCACTTAGGGAAACAGGGAATAGAGTAAGTGATATCAATGGTCACTTTCAGTCATCAGCTTGTAGCTGTAAAAGCACCTGAAACTCAACTAAAAATAAGTTTATTTATAAATAAATAATTGTGTCTAGAAATGGAAAACTGCCTCCTTTATGAAGGCCTTGTTGATTTTATTTATTATTTTCTTTTGTTTCCTGGTAATTTAAACTGTGTGATGGCATTTGTCTTCTAAAACTGACCCTTAGGTGTTTCTCTTAATGTTTACAAATATTCAGCAACTGGGTGGCCTATTGTTGTGGGTTATGAAGTAAAAATCAAGAATTTGTAGATTATTTGTCCTTCTGTAGATTTGTCACCATGGCCTTAGGCAAATTGTTAAATGTCCATAATACTGAGTGATAAAATTCCTAATTAATGGTGTTAAAAACTGAATGAATGGTGGAAATTTCTCATTCTTAATATCTTATATTCTTTAAAGATGGATATGTTGACAGCCTTTCTCTTCTTTTTGAGTTCAAAGAAGAATCTTTCAATACATAATATAATGAGATATTATTCTTTGCTTGTTAGTGACAAGAAAACATAGAATTCAATGCTTATTATTATAATGGTTTAGGTTGAAGCTAAAATTTTTACTAGAAAGCATAACAACTAAAGCCCCTCTTCCCTCAATTTATACCAAAACTCATAGTACCTTCTAGTTTTGTAATGGAACACTAATCTCAGTTTACAGAGGCTGTTGTGTTCTTGTATTTCTACATTTATTTATCTTTTTAAACACAAACCATAGTTAACAGTTTTACTGAAATAATTCATGGCTATATTTGCTAAACATATTTTTGTTGCTTAGTTTTTTACATTAAGAGTCATATGGCAATAATCCCAGCATTTCAGTGGGGATTAACAAAATTACAGGATTTATCTCCTGTTGTCAAGAACTGTGGAGTATAAACCTCGGAAGACTGAATTGCCTTGCAGTGGAGCACAGAAATGGGGGATGGGGACAGGTGTGGAAGGGAATGGAGGTGTGGTCTCTGCAACACCAATTGAATAACTTTGTCAGAAACAATTTGTGAGTCAAGTTTTCACTGTTTTTATTTCATACTTTCCGTTTATACATTTTACATAATAATATCTTTATGACATTATATTTATTCTCATTAAGTATAATCAGCATTATTTCCATTTGCTCATTCTCAGAAATTAGAAGAAAAGAAAAATTCCACTTGTAGACATTAGAAATTTAAAACTATGTAACTATAGATAGAGTTATTCTGTAAAAAAAACAATAAACAAGCAAACTCCATAATCTTGTATCTGAATGATTTTGACTCTTCACTATTTCAAAATTTGTAATAAAAAAAGATTATATCTTGTTTGGTGAGTTTCCAAAGTATAAGTGACTATTATTGCTTCTTTGTTTTGCTTATTTCATGCTTAAATTCTAAGGAGGACATTGGATTAATGAAAAATTTTTTCACTGGAAGCACATTTGCGTTAAAAATATTTATAATTAACAGAGTTTGAAAGTGGACCTTTGTGAAGTTATCTGCCATCCAAAACTGGCAGTTTAGATGATGCTCTGATGTTCCAACTAGCCTTACCCTCTTTACAGCACACACTTAAGTAACCCTGCAAAAATATCAAAAAACAGTGCTAGTTCTCCCTGGGTCCCATGTCAACTGTGAAGTTCTTCCATTCATCTTCCACTCACCTGTTTGGAGAACTGCACTTGCATTATCAATGTGATATCATAGCTTTAACAATGAACTCTTTTGTAATCAAGGAGCTTTATTATTCACAATTATTCCCTGTGTTTAGGACAGAAAATGGCTTGCCAGTCTCTGCCGAACTGTACTTGAGATTCTGCTTTAGCTCTTTAGAAAACAGCAACAATGTCTGCTTTTCTAGACTATGAATATTATAGGTGACATTAAATCAATTTGCTTTATGTGACCATGTGTTGGTAATAAGATTCAATCCTACACTGCCAGGTCATTTACCTACTATGTTTTAGAACCTTTTATAATTACCATTTGGTAACTAAGCTACTAAAGTGATACAATGTAAAGAACAAAGTCAAGGATTTGCGTAGCCTTGACAAAATTACTTAAATCTCTGCTTCTGTCTCCTAATTTTTAAGATGAGAAGTTTGTATTGGGCAATATCCAAGGTCCCTTATAATGCACCATATGTTTCATAGCTTTTGGTGGTATTTTGTATCAGTGTTGTTTGTGGGAGCATTTTCTACCTCTTACTTCTCCTCCTTCCTTTCCATTTTCTTCTTCTCTTCTTATTCTTTTTAATCGTGCTTATGCCTATTTATATTACATGACGTCAAAACATTAATATGAGTTATTATCTTTGTATTTTGCAGATGCTCATTTATAACAAGACCTCCAAAAAGTCATGTTTTTAACGTTACTTAAAAAAAATCCTTATTAGGATACAGTTCATCATGATCTATACTATACATTATTTACACTTTTCTTTAATAAAGACCCAGACTTTTCAAAGAGGCCCTGCCTCATAGACCTCCAACAACAGGAGGTTTAATTGATTAAGACTGATGCTACAGTGCTCTCTATTCTATCTTAGCGTTTGCTTTGAAGCCATGCTTCCCACAGAGTGCCCCCAGCCAATGACCAAGCATGGAAAGCATACAAAGACAGCACTGCCGCCAGCAGACACAGACTGCTCTGAGGACTTTGACTTTGGCTGAAGGACTCTCGGATGGTTTTACTAATACTTCCTTAGCCTGCTCAACTGTCTAGAGGGCTTCTATACAACTTTTTCTCCCTCTCCTTCACTTAGGTCCCAAGGCTCTTTCAGAAATTCTCTGTTCCCTCTTCGTTTTCCTCCACACAGTTGGTTCTCTAATAATACCCTTGCACATTTAATCCTATCTTGGCATCTGCTTCTCAGAAGTCCTGGACAAACACAGGCCCAAAATAATAGAGGTGTACAGCTATCTCAATATTTAAAAACTAAAATACAGACTCTAAAAAACCATAAACTTCAGATGTATTGAGATCAAATAAAATGTAAAGACAAGGCGATCAACAAATAGCAAACAGGTTTATAATATCCATAGTTCAAAATGTTCTTGTGTCCTTTCTATATAGAGGAGGAATTCAATATTTAATTCATTTCTATTGCAAGTCCCAGAACTGCAATGGTGCAATACACACACCATCTCAAAGCTCACGCCAACATCGTTCTGGTAAATAAGGAAAAGTTAAACTCAGAGTGGCTAATGCTGAACATACACAGTTATAGAGTGTTGGAGTGGAAATCTGAATCTAAGTTGCAAACTCATTCTTAGTTCTTCACTCCACACTCCTTCATATGATGGTAGATTGCAAGATTAAGAAAATAGAATAGCTGCACATTTTTCATATTGTTTTGTTTTACGTGGGTTGCTCTAACTCATAGTTGCTAAACAAAAAAAAATCAAATTAATTGTGATGAGTGCATATATGTCAAACCTAGTTGATTGTACCAGCCACAGGAACTTGTTCTTTTGTAAATGATTGATTTTGTTTACTATTAAGATATGTTTGTCAAGTCTTCAGAAGGCAATGTGGGGTTGCTGATATGTAGGGTGATATATTTAGAATGCAAAATGAGCTTGTTAGAATGAAATAAACTTAGAGCAGCAAGATGAAGTATAAAGGAGAAAACATGTGGCCCTGATTTTAAGTTCAAAAGATAATTTTCTAAGTACAGGATGTGACTGCTACAAGATGAGACCATTTTTCTTCTGAATGTAATATATGGGTTGGTCTTCTGGAATGACAAGAGTTCATGGAAAGGTCCAAGATTTTATATGACCACAATCTCAAAATGAGCCAACAGTGTTACTCTGATACTTAAAAGAAATCTACTTTTGGACTGTGCTAATTTACATATGGCAATATAAAAGAAAGTTAAACGCACAGATCTGGAAGATGGTTCCTGGTTTTGGGCACCAACTTAAAGAGGAACCTCCATAAACTTCAGTGTTATGGAAAGAATGCTGAACCAATACCCTGGATTAGGGCTATGATTATCCATGCATTCTACAAACATTGAAGTGCACACTATAAAACAAAACTGTGCTTGATAATGGGATGAAAAAATGATCCTTGCACTCAAGGAGTTCAAGGCTTGCAGCAGACTATCTGTGCATTTAAGTAAAGAGGAAAGCTTACAGGAAAATGCAAGTTGCCTTCAAATATTTGAAAATATTTTGATAGGTAAGGTTTAACTTTTCCAAGCCTGGTTCCATTAAGGCTGGTTTCAGAGAAAAGAAACTGGCCTCCTACAGAACTGGTGAGAAATTGTTATGCTCCCAGTAAGGTACTTAAAATAATCATTCACCTTAGTCAAGAACTTCCAGCCCCCTAATCATAAACACAAACATGGCAAATCTTACTGTAATCTTTGGCTTGGAGCTTGACTGCCCTCTCTTCAGAGGAATAGTGGTACCCGTTGTACCGTCACTTTCTCTGAACACTGAATTGACAAGAGAGCACTTGGTATTATTATATTCCATCCCCTAATCATTCTAGGAAAGGAGCGAAGAGTTGTAAAGATCACCTTTCTGGAATCTGACATCCGTCCCTGATGCTTTGCTTTGCACTGCTTCAGATAATGGTAGACAATGCATAACTCTAACACCTCTTTTCCTGTCTTTATTATTTCTTTCCTATGAATGCTGCCTCAATGAGTCTTCTGAGCTATTTGCCTTCTTTTCATCAGATGTATATAAAAAGAAATATGTTGCCTAATAAAAATTAGTCACTCAAAATTTTGTTGAATAAGATATGTAGAAATTAAACTATAATCAGTGGGTAGAAGTTGCATCCAAAAAATTTTCACAGGAATGAGAGAATATTATAAAATTATAAATAATACATGAATATTTTCTGAAGAGACTCTTTCAGTCATTGGAAAACTCAAGAAGAATTAGGGATGGCATTACTTAAGTACATTATTCAATTTATTTTTACATTGAATGATTTATATGTTGGGTGGAGAATGTTCTACTGGTAAATCTCTGATTCCACTTCCAATTCTAAAATTTGTAGTTCCTATGTTTGCAATGGGCAACCCAAAACTGTATTTATGAAGTTGGTCTCATGTGATTGATTAAATGCCTGTATTTAATCTGTAAATTTTCTCAATGGCAATGTTTTCTGACTGTATTATTTGTATGTTTACATGACCCTCTTCATCTCTTAGGTTTTAAAATAATGAGTGGCATTTAGCGCTACAATTACACATTCTTTATTACTTCAATATTAGTTATTTTTAAAGAAATATTTTAAATGTATATTGTTTTCATTTATCTGGATTCTGTCTTTTTAACTTTTAGAGTACAAATCAAGTTTAGTCAAAGGTTAAATTTTATCTGAACCTACAAGATTTTTCCTGAAAGCATGACTAAAACCTATTACTTTTTCCTCAGAGAAAATTTATTAGCACTATAAAGTGGAAAGACTGTCCTCATGTGGAAATGGTATAAAAGGTGTAAAGTTCAGGCCCTTGAAAAACTTCTAACAAGAGGGTCTTATTTTTATACTACCCTGAAAGACAATGTATGCTGGCAGTATTGAACATTATAACTAAACTTAGCATTTATAAAATATAACTTACTTAGTTTGATGCCAGAATCTCTCTTTAAATAAAAGCTCATTTATAATAAAATAGCAATAATAATCAACTTCATCCATTGTTTCCTGTTTTATAATACACCAAACACTATAGTTAAAACAGTAGAGCCAAACCTCAAATCTTAAAACAGTCATGACTAAGGATTGTAAAAGCACTCTGCCCATAGGGTGAAAAGCTATAAATGGCTAATTTGAAAAGAGAAAAACTTATTGTACCTGTGAGACAAATAAGTAATGAAATTTTTGTGAAAAATTAATGGAAAAAATTTAAACATACCATCATCTCTGATCCCACAGATTTCTTCTTTATTTGACATTTCCTTTTCTGAGGTACCTAATTTGTATTTCATAAATGTTTTAGCAAGGAATCAGGAATCTAACATGTAAGATAAGGTCATCTTTTTCTTTTTTTCACAGTAATTTTTCAAATAACTCAAGGTCTTAAAGTTCTAGAATGGAATTTTTTTTTTCAAATAAGTACAAACATTACCAGATATTTACTCCCCTATTATAGTTAGTCTCTGGAAGAGGTAGTCACATGTAACTAGAGCTGTTCTTAAATATGAAAGAAACTGGGAAAGTCAAATTTTAATAATAAGTTTTCTTTATGTGACATCTGAACATGTGACGCTTATAGAAATACTCCAAACAAAAGTCTCACTCTGTCTTCCAGGCTGGAGTGCAGTGGTGCCATCTCAGCTCACTTCAACCTCTGCTCTGGGTTCAAGGGCTTCTCCTGCCTCAGTCTCCTGAGTAGCTGGGATTACAGGCATGCATCACCATGCCCGCTTATTTTCTTGTATTTTTAGTAGAGACGGGGTTTCACCATGTTGGCCAGGCTGGTCTCGAACTCCTGACTCAGGTGATCCTTCCACCATGGCCTCCCTCCTAACGCGCTGGGATTATAGGCATGAACCACCACGCCCATCCCACAATCCCTTCTTGATACATCCTGATTGTTGAGGGAACAAGTAAGTGATGTGTTCTGGAATATAGTTAGGGAACCCTGAGCCTATGTGCATAAACCACACCAGTCATTGTAAACGATGTTGGTTCATCTTGAAACTCAGTTAAGTGGAGGGAGATTAAGAGAGCTCTTCTGTAATTGTGAAATGATAAAGTGTTAATGACATACAATGTTGGCAAATTGGCCATTTGATTTAAGACAATTTTTATACTGTTCTTATATAGCTGTAAGCTTAGATATAATAACCATTAATTATCAGCATTTCACAAAGGAAATATTAGTTCTATTTTTTTCATGTAACAATTTGCCTTGAACCAATAATATGTCAAACAAATGGTAAGAGAGCAATTTTCAGTGAAAATTCAGAATCTGTTATTATTTCTGAGCCTACTGAAAATTGCAAATGCTTTTCTTTGCTCTGGTTTCAAGCCTTTCAGGAAAGTATCTATAGATAAGTGTGTACCTCAACAACAGCAATGACAATGAATCTTTCAAAACTGCTTGGGCTCAAAAGTTCTCATAAGAACTGAAGTTAGTAATTGACATTCAATTGATGACACATAAATATACTGTGAAAAACAGGAGCCTTCTAAGTGCTAAATTTCTATATTCTTTCATGAGATCACTTGATTGGAAAGTATTCAGGCAAAAAGATAGTGCAGAATGCCATTAGGAATATTTATGAAAATAGAAAGGTTCTGAATAGTTTGCAAGCTATATATCTAGTTTCAGGAGTTTTTTTCGTGAATATATTATGTCAGAAACAGGTTAGAGATCATATTCATACTTGGCTGTTTGTAGAACTGTTTTTTCTTGAAAGATATTTACCTATAATATTAACTGCTGTCTACTTTGTAAAAAAAAAAAGCTAGTGTTTTAATCAATTTAAGTATTCTGACGAATATATTGAACACTGTGTAACCTGCAACTTGAAAAATATCAGTTAAATTTCATTTTTAAAAATGTTCCCTAAACATGTGGCTAGAATGTGCTTGACGCATGAGACTTTATCCACAGTATAAATTCCCTCTGGCCTTCTTTTGACAATAAAGCAAGCAAACAAACAAAACCTGGAGCAGACTTTTAGGAGAAAGTAAAATATCAAATACACACATTTTCTTAATCTCTGGCATCCATAGCTAGGATGTAAATTCTAGTATTCAATCTTGAAAATAAATTAGAGGCTTATTGGATATAAATCAATATTTTATTTCATTTAGGTCATAATATGACTTTAGTTTATTTAGGACATATCTCTTAACTGTTTACTACTTCTCTGCCTTTGGGATAAAAATGGAATCTCATATTGAAGTATTTACTAATTTAAGTCCAACTACATATATACATACATATATATACACACACACACACACACACACACACACACACACACACATATATATATATATATATATATATATAGCAGCCATCCCAACTCAAGGAGGCTCTTAAATGTTTCAAATACAGAAATTATAGATACAAAATATTACAACTACTCATGCAGAACTTTCAAAAATTACCTGGAAATACTTATATTGAGTTTTATTCAGTGATGGATTTACTTTGAAGAAAAATATTGTTTGTGGCTTAAGACATTTCAGCTAGACTATTTTTGAAGCTTACAAAATAGTGCTATAAATGCATCTCAAATTCATTTTGAGTCCTGAAGGAGTTACCAAAATGATGATTTCATACAGAAATAAATATGCATGGCAAGTTACACATGCATGTATGGCAGAAACATACATTTCCACATTGTGAAGCAATGAAAAACCTCACAAAGGTTATATAAATTTAAACCAATAAAACTATTTGCAGCACCTCTTTCTTTGTCTTCTAAACTCATTCCAGCTTTGGCTCCTTCTTTGTCTTTGTTCAGCCTCTCTCTTCCCTACAAATATGCATATAAAAACATTTTGGAAAGCAGATGCTAATAAACACACAAGTCTTAATATCATCACACATGCCATACCTTGTCCATGCGAGGAACTTCCACTATAACCTGGAACCATTCCTTCAGCATTAAAACATAGCTCAGGATTTATCTCTTCAAAGAAACTTTGACAGAATAACCAAAGTAATTTAATTCACTCCAGCAAGATTATCTTGCTAGAATCCAACACAGTTATATTTATATTTTGAACCTAACGAAAATATTTTATCAATATCCTTAAGCAAAAATCACTTATTAAATAAAGACTTAAAAATAGGCTTATTACTTTTATACATGAATGCGCCTTATATTAACCCTTGTTTTCAAAGCCCCAAACCCAGCTTCACTCTCCATTTGCTCAATTGTATATGGCCCATATGAAATTCCAAACTCACTCGCCCTCCCCCATGGTGATATAAGCACTGGTCCAGTAAAGATTCCTGAATAATAAAGTGTCAGTGATTGCTACTCTTCCCACTGTAGCATGGAGCCTTGATCCAAATATTTAAGTCATATTCTTCTAGAAAGTGTCAAATACTGGAGATACCACATACACATCTTAAATATAACGGGCAAGATGCAGGAATGAGACTAAGATCCACAGAACATAAGATTCATATTAGTTAGGAATAGAATCAAGTAGTTATGGAAACATGAAGAGTAAAACCTCTGACCGATTGCCAGAAATTCTGTATATTTGCACTTTGGTCTTATAGATTGGACATGGGACTAGAGACTTGATTATGGAATCAAAGACATGAGAGACTCAGAGTTTTTGAAAACTAAACACTACCAACATTTTATGATCTTCTCATAGTTTCTGTAATGAACATTACTCTACTAAGTTAACTAATATTTTGTCTAGAAATTTTGTATTTCAGTACTTAGTTCAATAAAAGCACTAAACATATGGTGCAATACATGTAGAATGTGATACAATATGAAACATCATTAGAAAGAGATTGATGTATGTATGCTGAAGTGGAAATTTTCATGAGAGGTTGAGTAAAAAATATGATGTTCAAGATATCATATATAAGATTATATGTTTATTAAATATAATATATAGAGGAAATAAATATTAAAAAGATATTCACAAAATTGTTAACATTGGGTACCTTTAATAGCATTAGTTTGAGTCACTAAGAATGGGTTTTTTTTACTTCATACATATTTTATTTCTTATATTTTTATTGTATAAATCACTTTTTAATAATATACTAACTTAAAAAATATAATAAATCAAAATATATTACTTAATAAATTATTTGATATTAATAAAATAGGAAACTTCCATATGCAGTTGCTATCAATATATCTTAAAACTTCATCTTCAGATATAAAATATCTTACTTTTAAAAATTATATAGATTACTATTATTTATAAGTTCAGTCTGGATTGTTCTTCCCTCAGTTTTTCAGTTTGAATTTACATAATATTCTCATGATCACATGTAAAATTTTCATGTGCCCTTAGCAACATATGTCCTTAGGGATAAGGGTGGAAAAACCCTGCAACTACTATTTGTCAAAATTCTCCTGTACGCTCCATGTTACAGCTTTATGAATTAGCTGCCTATCTCTGTCTGTCTTTTTCTCTCTCCCTAGCTCTGTTTCTCCCTCTGATTTTCACAGATGCCCATAAAACACACTTACATACCAAATTTTCCTCCAAGAACATACACACTATGCCAAAGGGACAGTTGAGAAGGAATTCAGTTGTCTGACAACAGCCCATCCCCAAAATAATTCTGGTCTTGGCACTGGTCCTGGCTCACTAGTTAAAATATCTTGCTTCTAAATATCTGGGCATTTTTTCTGCCATTTGATCTAATTTGGGGCCTCCAAAATTTATCTGAATTGTCTAATATTAAGTATCAAAAAGAATATAACCTAGTTCTTGATCCAGTTTCCCAAGAAAAGGCTTATTGTCTGCAATGCAAATTTGCTATTATTCAACCAACAACTTTGAAACTGTAAATTTAAAGAGTGCTGCATTTATCCATGTGTAAAAAAAATCACGTTAGAGACTTGCCCCCCCCATCCACCATCGATAAATAGAGACCTTCTTAATTTATATTTCACCTGTTTCAGTACAGGTGACAGAAACCAGGCCTGGCTAATTTACACACACAAAAAGAACTTACTAACAGCTAGATTTAAGCTTAAGAAGCAATGGGTAATATCTACATTAAGATAATTTTCAAATACTAATGAGAGCTAAAAAGGAAAACTTTCCTTTGTGTGGATCGGAAGACTCAGACCCAGTATTATACCAATTCTCTTGAATTTAATCTAAAAATTCAATGCAATTTTTATAATTTATCAGTAAGAGTTCTCCTTAACTAAATTAGCAGATTATAAAGTTCACATGAAAAATAAATGAACAGGCAAAAATACTTCTTTAGAAATTCTGCTTCCCAAAATGGAAAAATGCATTGACATGGGACTAACACTACCAGATATTAAAACATATTATGAAGCTATAGTCTTTAAAACACTGTCTCTTCATTAAATGCCATTTCATTTTCTATCCTTGAGACTTTCTACCCTTGAGACTCTTCAATCAAGTAACATTCTTCCAGGTGAATTTCAAACGCTAACCCACTGACATGTCTTAAAACTAAAACTACATTCAAAGTCCTCAAAGCAGAATCAAGTATTGGTGTCAGTTCCACTGCTAAAATTTACTGAAAAGAAAGAATATACATTGTATATAGAAGCTTTATTCATAAAAGCCTAAAACTTAACCCAGATGTTCATCAATAGAAGAATTCATAAACAAATCATAGTATATTTACACAATGAACTAATACTCAGAGAACTAAACTAAAATAAAAATTTACTGGTAAATGAATGGATCTTAAAAACCGAATTTTGAGCAAAAGCAACAAAACACAAAAGAATATATGCTGCATGATTTCATTTAGACAAAATCCAAGAATATAGAAGACTCATCTGTACTAATAGAAATTACATAATGATTTCTTATTATGCATGGGAGGTGGGGGGATTTACTAAAAAGGGGCATGAGGGAACTTTCCGGAATGATGGAAAAGCTTTATATCTTGGGTGGTGGTTACATGGATATATAAAATTGTCAAAACTTATCAAACTGTACAATCTTGATCTGTGCACTTTATTTTATGTAAATTATACCTCAACACAAACCATATAAAGTACATCACTTTAGACAAAAAAAAGGAAGTCAAGCATAAAGCAAAATGGATGTGAATTATAATGCATGTCCTTGGATAGCCAAAAAAACACATCTCTCTTTCCACTGAAAGAATTCCAGTCTTACCTCTCCCTGTCCCTATTTTGTGACAGTACACATCATCCAACTCATCACCTCCACTAGTGCTGACACCTCTCCCATTTATTTTACCATTTTCCTGGTGGCATAAGAAGCTCCTAATCATCAAAAGACAGTCTCAGATTTCAACTCAATAAACCCATATTATGTATAATAAAACCTTAAAATTAGCAGAAAGCAAATAATGAAGATGAGAAGCCAACATTTTTAGTTATAACCAATAGAGCTGTGATGTCTATTCCACCCCACTCCCCCAAACACACACACACACAAAACACACTCAAACATACATACACACATAGTCTCTACTTTTGGCTGCTTGACGAACCAATGAATTTGGGCTATAAGGTTTAAATGAAGCAGGACCATATGTATATTATTTGTTATTTCTAGCATACATTGGCTCTTATAAAATCCTTACCTAAAAACTTATTTTCTCCCAGTTAAAACATTAGCCTCAAATAGATATTTCACTGCTTTGTGCAGCCAACTGCTTCTGAGTTTAAGATAAGGCCAGTAAATCTTATGGGAATTTTCTCATTTTTATTTGAAGTTACTCTCTTAGTAATAATGGTGTGAGAAATACAAAACTATATAAAAGAGAGCTCAGCTAAGCCTATGGTACTAGCAGAGACATAAAAGACAAGGAAACAAAATCTAATTTCAGAATAGATACCTTCTGTGGTTTAAATGTGTTTCTTAAAATTCATGTATGGAAAATTAATTCCCAATGCAAGATAATTGGGAGAGGAAATTTTTTGAAAGGTGTTCGGGCTATATAGTATCCACCCTCATGAAGGGATTGATGCTGCTCTCAAAAGGGCTATTTGGTGTGGGTTCTCTATCTTCTGCCCCTTTTTAATGAACAGCCTTCCTCCCCACTAAAGGAAGCAGTGTTCAAGGCATCATCTTGAAAGCAGAGACTGGGCCCATACCAGACACCAGATACTGGTACATTGATCTTGGACCTCTCAGTCTCCAGAACTGTGAGAAAATAAATTTCTGTTCTTCATAAAGTATGCAGTCTTAGATATTTTGTTATAGCAGCACAAAATGTACTGAGATCGTTTCCATTCAGCACATTTCTTTTAATAATGTGAGGAATTCAGTGCAATCAATTTACTGCCACATAATTGTCTAGTCTGTGAATTATGGAAACACTCTGGAGATCAATGATTCATTTTAGCCAATTGAAAACTAGTCTCTTGGCCATGGTAAAAGCCATGTCTTTTTGATACAGAGGAATCCAACCTGTTGAAAACATGTGTATAACCTCCATCCCTAATGCTGGAACCACTTTCCTTAGGAACCTATTTAAAAACAATGAGTTACTTAGAGACAGAGGCCGATCAATATTTATATAGTAGGTCATCATATTCACAATATGAAGTGCTCTCCTACATCAAAGTGCTTTCCTACATACTATTACAAATAATATGTATTACATACAAATTATATGTAATACATACAAATAATATGTATTACATATTATTACATACAAACTTATTACAAATAAGTATTCAAATAAAATACAACTATTCTCTTGACCTGAGCCCATTTTAAGAATTTTATCATATACATTTCTCTAAACTAAATTATCTTCAATATTTCTTTCTTACCCCTTCAATATCACTACACATCCCATTGATCATTAGCCTTTTGCCCAGGAATTGGTATAGATCCTGATCTCAGTTTTCTCTTTTCCAGGTAAGTTCTTCATGTGAAGAGAAAGATAAATAATATTAAAATATGTTGTAATATACAGTATGATAGAGATCTCAACATTATGCAATGGTTTCAGGAGGAGAGAATATTTTAAGCAGGTGATTCTGATCATGCTGATTGGAGATGGCACTGTAAAGGGAATAGGTAAGATTTCCTAAGAAAACAATGGAGAAACAATGAAGGAAGAGTATAATCTAAGAACATGTCACTCTGTGTGACAGATTATAAAATCTAAGTGGAGAATCTTTTATGCAATAGTCATATTTCTATATTGAGGAACTTGTGTTTATTTTCTCTCCAGCAGGTAGTCATCAGATGAGTTTGACTAGGGAAGATTCCATTAGATTGATATTTCAGAAAGATTCTGATAGCACCACGCAGAATGCATTAAAAAGGATGACACAAAGGAGTGGAGATCAGTATAGAAGAAAAGAGAAGGAATTAAGACACTAGAAGTAGAAACAGAAGTGAGACTTAGATGAGAAAAATTATTGTAGATGTAGAATCAATAGAATGTGGCAAACAATTAGACTAAGATCTGATTAAAAAAAAAAGAGATAATTCTAAAAAGCTTTCCCTTATTCACCATTTCCTCTGGGAAACCCAGTGAACCAGAAGTGTAGCAGAGGAGTAGCTACCATTCTGAAGGCCAGTAAGTTTACAAAAGTATATTTAGGACTCCTATGCCCCAGAAGAAAAGAACCTAATCTAATGGAGGGACAGTCCTAATGAGTAATTCTGGGAAAAGTCAGTGCCTCCTATGAGGTTAATCTTTTGTCTGTGTCTTTTGTACTAATGTAATATCTGCTTCCTTTCCCCAGAATAGCTAACTACCACCACCAGCACCACCACCACCACCACCACCACCACCACCACCACCACAGCCTTGTTCCCTGTCTGATTCCTGTTGTCACTGTTTTCTCACTGGTTGTTTCCTGCATCCTTTCCTTTCAGCATTTTTGTTTTTGTTTGTTTATTTCTTGCTCTTACAGGTTTATCTAATAATTTTTTTCCACTTTTAGCATCCTAAATCTTTGAAGACATCTCTAAATATTCTCAAGTAAAGATGGCTGGGTTCTCCATATTAACTGTTAATACTAAGCTGCCTAGGACTGAACTGAATTCTACATGGCCTTCTGTGGATTTGATCCCTACCATGACTCTTTCCCTGAGTGGGTCCCTTTGCCTCAATGGTGCTCCACAATCCTGCTGGATTTCCTGCCATTTCCATTTCTCTAACTTAACTTTGTGCTGCCCCTTTAACATCTAACCTGTTTTCTCTGTAGTCAGAACACAGTGTCCTAAAGTATTACTGCCATTCCCTAATGCTAATGCTGATGCCAACAGCTATCCTAATGAAACAGGAGAAAGGTTATGGGAAGGGTTAAAGGTGTTGCTGAGTTTATTAAGTTACAGGTCACCTGATCTTAAGATTTCAGAAATTGGCAATGTGGTTATATGCACTTTGTTCTTATATATTTGCTTTCTCTTACTGTGTAAAAAAATTTGCTCTGGAGAAACATTACCTTAAGCACCAATGTGGATGGATTATTGTAAAGCCAAACCATGTATTTTATTATACAAGATTCAAGGTGGTTTTTATGACATTGCTTTTGAAATATTGATTAGCTCCTATTTAATTAGTTTATGCATTTTTCTGAAAGTTAAAATTGACTTGTATTAATGAGGGTTTTCAATTTCAAAAATATATTATCTAATGTTAAAAACACATAATAATTTTCACTATCTAGGTCTCAGTTTCTAGAATGAGAAATTGGATGCTGTAAATTTTAAAGACTTTGTTTTAGAACACTATAAATATGTGAAGATAATTTATTCAAGTATATATATTTAAAGACACACTGCATTATTTCCCTGGCCCTGCCCCACCTCCATGTCTCCCTTTACAAATAAAAAAAAAAATCAATTAAAAAAATAATGAAAATTTTACTTTGGTTTAGGAGTATCTGTATGTGATATATTTTTTAATTTAAAATGTTTTTCTTATTGGTACATGCATTATAACATTTACTGATTAAGTTAATATTCATGAATAATTCAAAAGAGTAAGTTCTACCTTTATCAAGTTAAAAATCCATTGTAATTTCCTCTGCCTCTACTTCAATAGTATTTTATTATGATAATTAATATCCTTTACAAAGAGGTGGCTCTGTTCCATCCCACAAATCAGATCATTGTCCTTTTTCAGTCTACAGAACCAATTTAGAGGAAATGAGATATGTCTTGTGTAAGACTTTCAAAAAAAAAGTAAGAATAATATCCTATCACGTTCAATTATTTCAAGAATGTTTACCTCCTGCTGTGTAAAACCTAATAACAATTTAGTTTTGCTTGGGGCGATATGTGGAGTCCTTATTTGTTTAAGCTTCATTTAAAATTTAACCTATAGTACAAATGCATATCATGGATACTGTGGTTCGTTAACTCAAGGCCATATCATGCTCATAAAGAAACACTGTTTTTCAGTTAACCTATAGATTTTAGATAGCTATCCAAACTCATTTGCCACTCAGGGTAATTACATACTTTTAGCATCTTTATTCTTATTTTTGGTTTAGTGGAAGTTTATTTCTTAATAACCTTTACCGTTTTCTCAAACTGCGGCAGATATAAGCCATTTTGCTTTAACAATTCCTCCCAAATTCATTCTCCCACATATGTTTGTTGAAACCTTTAGTGATATCTAAATTAGGCTTGGCAGAAATAGAGACTTGCCATTTTTGCATGGCACATCCTATGGGGCACTGGTTTGAAGAAGGCAAATTGAAAATGAAAAGAGATTTGATGTTACAGGAAGGAGGCAAAAAAATGTTTGAAAACACCATGATTGAAAAATATAATAACCTATGTTTATTTGTAATGTCTGATGAATGCCATGGTTTGCTTAATTGAAAATTGTAGGCAATTCAAGGATACATATGCCATACATGGATTACTGAATTTCAAAATGCAATGTGATAAAGTACATTCAGCCCTAAAAGTTGAGTTTATCAAAATTTAAACTCTGGTGATTCAGACAGTCCTTCATTGTTTGTGTATTCTTGGCATGCCAAAACATGCTCTCTCCCTCTCTAGAAATAAAAGAATGAATTTTTGTTTTTATGCATCCCCAAGGGATTAAATGTATCTTGCAACATAAAGAAAGGGTTGGTTAATGGGAAACGATTGCATATTTTAAAGAATATTTGTTCTTTATTCCTGCTGCCAATCTGAAGATTCTGTATGTGGCAGCTCAAGAGCAATCCAAGACACAGGCCAGAGACAATAGAGAGAGCCCATGTAAAAATCTATCAGTCCACAAATCATTCTTCTCCACTCCTTCTACCCAGTGGAGATCCACTGAAGGCTAGCTTTCAGTAGATGCAAGCTCAGTGGTCATTCACTTTAAGTTCATGGTTTAATGCACTAGAAAGAAGTGAGGAATCAGAGTCATGGAGATGGAACAAGAAGAGAAAAGGAGAGCAAAACATTAAACTTACATCTTGATTTATCCATTCAAACATAATAAAGCACTACTATATTACAAGAATTACACCACAAAATTCTTATGAAACAGAACACTGAAGAACTCAAATATAAAAGAGAAGAAAGGCATTTAAGTAAATAATCATAATGATATGTTTCATTAGTGCTCAGGGATAAACATGCAGAAAATACAAATGGAAGAAATAGTGAAGGAGGATAGACTAGACTTTACAAGAAGGAAGTTGTCAAGAATGTCCATGTCTAAGAGGTGAAATTTGATGTATCTTAAAAAAATGATTGAAGTGTGAAGAGTAACCAAAGGGGATTATGTATGCAAAAGGCAGGAGTGAATATGTATAGCCAGTATAACAAGTGAGAGGGTCCACAGAGATGTAGTTATCTGCTGGATCCCAGGCACACTTGTTTTTATGTCTTCTATACCTCCTTTAGGACACATAGTGAATTCTACTATCAAGATTAAAATGTCCAATTTACAGTTTTTAATCTCTTCAAGGTTATCACTATTTGTGAAATAGGGAACCTCTGTAAATTCACTTAAACAACTTTGTAATTTTGTAACTTCTCCATGGAAATATGTATAAGATTTTGAAAATATTTAACTGTGGAGTTTTCATTGTTCAGTAAGTCAGAGCTTCCTGGAAGTTCTAGTACTAAGACTAGGAAAGAAAGTTGATTGCCCCAAGAGCTAAGTAGTATCAACTACCTAGAACAAAAAAGTAAATGAATAGTTGTAATTTGCAGACTACTGTTCTGAAAAACAGGGATGGTTAAGTTTTTTATATTTTTAATGTATATTTTTATATATTTTAATATTATATATAATTTTATATATTTATATATTTTATATATTATGTATAAATATATATTTGGATATATTTATACATATATATTTGCATATATTTTTATATATTTTTATGTATTCCAAAACCTCTCTCTCTCTATATATATGTGTGTGTGTATATATATATATATATGCATACAGTTAAAAGGAAGCCTGGCTAACATAAGCTAAAGTGTTGATGTAAACCTTGGGTAGAGAGAATTTAGACTGTGTATGACAGGAAATGTAAGAGGGAAGCTTTTCCTAAACCCAGAGGACTGAGGAAAAGAGAACATAGGCTAGAATTAGATACAGTTGCCTGGTTTATTCTTTTCACTTATGAATTTATTCATTTAACAATATTTATTTAGTGCTTACTAGCCATCAGTTATCATGCAGACTTTTACTGGTACAACATAGAATGGAAAGCCTCTTTAGTCTTAGGAAGAGTTCCTGGGGGAAGAGGGTGCTAAGGAAAAGTTCAAATATGCTTAAGAGAATCTTGGAGGAATGGGTTCTTACTTACTTCCCAGGTTATAAGCTGAAAAATTGCAAGTGTATTTAGAGAAGAACTGCATGTAACTTCACAAAGTAGAATATTAGAAATGGTTGAGGTAAGATCTGAGCAAAGAGAAGATCAAGATGTGATCTAAGTTAGAAAAAAATTACAAAATATTTGTATTTGTCAAAAACAGAGAGGAAATATGGGAAGCTCTTCTCTCAGTTCACACTGAATAGAAATGCTAAACAAACATTTTTTTGTTTAGTTTTATTTTGAATTTTTTAACTTAGTTAAATTTTAAAGCAAGAAAGTTTTTATTCTGTTTTGTTTTTTAATGACAGTAGAAAAAAGAGGAAGAAGTAGCCATAAAGATAAATGAGAAGTAAAGCAAATAGCACATGGAGCATCATAATGAAATGTGCCTAAGGGGCCGCAGTGTTAAAACCCATGCAAGAACTGAAATTGAGGCCACAGGTCTAAGCAATATGTGAATCTGGAACTAATCTCTCAACCTAAAGCTAGGAACCATCTGTAAAATGAAGAATAAAAAAAAAAATCCTCCCACTAGCCCAATTAGAACAGAAGTAAGCACTAGACATAGGTAAAGATAATCACTTGTGAAATTTTGAACCTCATGCCTGTAAGTGCAGGGTTCAGAAATAAGGCAAGAAATTACCATGAAAATTTACCCAAAACTAGTTAAGTCAAATGCGAAGAAGTCAGATAAGGAATCTCTGTAACTCGGGGTACATCCAATTCATCTGGAAAACAACCCATTCCAATAAGGTCACTGTTCGACATTATAAAGCATGAAAAGAAACCAAATGTTAGGAAAGTGTGCCAGTAAAAACAATAAGAGAATTATAATCATACAACTTATGAAATTGATCTGAAAGAAAGGCAAATATGTTAAAAAGTTCAAATAAATGAAGTAAGCAATATAGGCAATAAAAAAACAAGATTTAGAAACATCTACATGTGCAAACTGTCAAAAACTTACAGAAATGAAAAATGTGTTATTGAAATAAATACATCAATAGAAAAATTGAACAATTTCTAAGATAAAACTAACAACAGAATTATTGTATTGGAATATAGTTAATAAGGAAATCACATACAATTTAGCACAAAGAAGAAATCGTTAACAGATAAAGAAGCAAGACTAAACCTCTCCAAATTGGATTTAATATGAGTTCCAGAAGAAAAGGATATAGAAAATTGGAAAGAGGTGCTGTTTATAAAGTGATTCCTAAGAGCTTATAAAACATAAGTAAAACTTGAATCATCCTATTTAACTAACAAATCAAATCCTAAGAAAAATAAAGGCTCAACTCCCTCCCAGAAAGTTAGACTTTTTGTCAGCAAACATACGTATCAGGAAACAATTAATATAACTTTCATTAATCCTAGACAAAGTGGGTATTTTGTTTTTTACTCACTAACAGTAATTCGTATTTTGCAGATAAAATTAGTAATAAAATGCAAAAGTAAACATATTTTTAAACACTTGAATATTGTGTGCAAATTTTGTCCCTGCATTTTGACTCTGTCTACTGATCTGCCTTTAAAATGAAAATGTTCTATGTAGTTGTTTGGGTGATAAATAGACAACATTTACCTCACAGCCAGCCTTTCCAGGTGAATTCCAAGAAAATAAAGGAAGAAATGAAGGAAAGAGGAAAATATTATGTGCTTTATATTGTTCAAATAAAATCATATTCAAAGATAATCAAGAAACTCTAAGCTTTCCTTAATCATAAGACATGACAGGGATTTTTCATGAGTAGGGTACGACTTGTATAAAGACATCATGCAGTCAAAAGTACGCTGAATTAGGGAAACAAGGAATGGTTGCACATGGCTCTAACAACAGGTGGCAGGGAGGTGAGCTATATCAGCTGAAGCGTAAAACTAAAAGGCTCTACATCCCAAGAGGCATTTAAGCGGCGTAAGAGAGTAATGAAAATGTGCCGAGAGAAAAATAACTTGGCTAGATTTTTATTTTTGAAAAATCCTCCTGATAAGCAATGAGAATATTGTAAAGAGAAGACGCTGAAATCACAGGAGCCAGTTAGGATCTTTTCATGTTCAGGAAAAAAAATATATGAGTATTTTAAATAAGGAGTAAGTACATGACTGGTCACAAAAGCTATTTTTTTTAATGGTGGTAATCTTGATAAGACCTAATGATTCCTTAAAAGGGGTGAGATAAGGGAAAAAAAGCTGATTACTATTTTCAAAGTTTTAGACTCCATGGAGGATTTAACTAAATGCAGCATATATGGGATGATCATACATACTGATTTCCCCAGGACTCTTCCTCTATATGCATTCAGACTCGGTAATTATTAATAGAAGCACTTTGAATTCACAAAAGTGCCCTAGATTGAAAAATAAATTATATGGTCATCTACATAGGTGGAAGAAGTGGCTATCAGCAGGTAACTTTAAAAGCTACTGCAGTTTTGAAATGGTGAGTTCGTGATATCTTTCACTTTTAGATGCCTGGGTTTTGGAGATATGTCTAGGCAGAAGATTTTGAAATTTTGGAGTTTAGAGTTAGGAAATATAGTCAACATGCAGAGACAAGGTAAATCAATTGGTAGAGATGACATTATTCAAGAAGAAATGTTACTAAAACAAAAGAAGACACAGAAGGCTTTATTTCCATTAACATTAATTTGGACTCATGCAATGTTCTGAACAAATGGTGCCCATTTGTCTTGTTTTGTTTCTCAGAAGACATAGGAAAATATTCACTGATATTATGTGACCCTTCCCCTACCCTCATCCACTCTTGCCAAGAGTTTCAGTAACCCTCAACCATTGAATTGGAAAGAGTTTCACCACATGGTCCAATAAGGCTTAATGTGGGCTGACACATTCTTCAAAATAATATTTGGTCTGGAGGAAACTTGTGAAACAGTAACTAATTCAACTGGGAAGGAGATGAGGTACACTTCAATTCACTCTTCTAGAATCACTTCCTTTATCAATTGTAACAGAAATGTTGGCTTAGATGTAGAAAAGTGTTCTTCATATTTTGAATAGCTTACAATACTTAATACTGCAATGAACAATAAAATTAAACATTTATCAATATCATTTTGTTCTATATTTTGCTTTCAACTCTACAATTCATTTCAGTATTCCTTTCAGTTTGTTGTTCACATATGATTGTATTCTTATCACAGCTGGAAAACAATTTTTTAAAAAAAGGAACATCTCTGAGTGTGTTGCTTCACCATTATGTTGATGAACTGTGGATGGTGTGGAATGGCAAAGAAAAACAGCTGTACAACTTCTTTGAGTTTCTGATGTATAATTTGTCATGTTCTAGGCCAAGAATTCAGAGAATCATAATACCATGCACAAGGTCACTAAAAGTTTTTAACATGATTTTTCTAAACAAAAGGAGCATGCCAGGAATTAAGATAACGACCCACCCAGGAAATAAGATAATGACCCAGGCTTCATACCTGAACTCAAAAAGTTGTCTTCACACAATTGAGACAAATTATTCTGAGCCATCAAAAAAGTAAGATGGCAGGTGACATCTAAGGCTAATTATAATTACTTATCATGATGTAAGTAGAGATGTGTGAGAGGTTGGGGCTGTAGTGCTTATGTTGAAGACTAGGAAGAATAAAGAAATACACAAACTAAACATTTTAAATGACAGATTTTGTGTGGGGTCCTCATTTTAAAGGCTCCCGTGCCACATAAAACTATGATCAAATAAATTTGTATGCCTTTTCTCCTATAAAGAACATATATTTTTACATGTGCAGTTAAGTCAGCTCTCAGAGGGAAGGTCTATCAAGAAAGAGATTACCGGACACTGAGGAGCCAAGATGGCCAAATAGGAACAGCTCCGGTCTACAGCTCCCAGAGTGAGCGACGCAGAAGACGGGTGATTTCTGCATTTCCATCTGAGGTACCGGGTTTATCTCACTAGGGAGTGCCAGACAGTGGGCGCAGGTCAGTGGGTGCGCGCACCGTGTGCAAGCCGAAGCAGGACGAGGCATTGCCTCACTTGGGAAGCGCAAGGGGTCAGGGAGTTCCCTTTCCGAGTCAAAGAAAGGGGTGACGGACGCACCTGGAAAATCGGGTCACTCTCACCCAAATACTGCGCTTTTCCAACAGGCTTAAAAAACGGCGCACCACAAGATTATATCCCGCACCTGGCTCGGAGGGTCCTACGCCCACGGAGTCTCGCTGATTGCTAGCACAGCAGTCTGAGATCAAACTGCAAGGAAGCAGCCAGGCTGGGGGAGGGGCGCCCGCCATTGCCCAGGCTTGATTAGGTAAACAAAGCAGCAGGGAAGCTCGAACTGGGTGGAGCCCACCACAGCTCCAGGAGCCTGCCTGCCTCTGTAGGCTCCACCTCTGGGGGCAGGGCACAGACAAACAAAAAGCAGTAACCTCTGCAGACTTAAATGTCCCTGTCTGACAGCTTTGAAGAGAGCAGTGGTTCTCCCAGCATGCAGCTGGAGATCTGAGAACGGGCAGACTGCCTCCTCAAGTGGGTCCCTGACCCCTGACCCCTGAGCAGCCTAACTGGGAGGCACCCCCCAGGAGGGGCACACTGACACCTCACATGGCAGGGTATTCCAACAGACCTGCAGCTGAGGGTCCTGTCTGTTAGAAGGAAAACTAACAAACAGAAAGGACATCCACACCAAAAACCCATCTGTACATCACCATCATCAAAGACCAAAAGTAGATAAAACCACAAAGATGGGGGAAAAAACAGAACAGATAAACTGGAAACTCTAAAAGGCAGAGTGCCTCTCCTCCTCCAAAGGAACGCAGTTCCTCACCAGCAACGTAACAAAGCTGGATGGAGAATGACTTTGACGAGCTGAGAGAAGAAGGCTTCAGACGATCAAATTACTCTGAGCTATGGGAGGACATTCAAACCAAAGGCAAAGAAGTTGAAAACTTTGAAAAAAATTTAGAAGAATGTATAACTAGAATAACCAATACAGAGAAGTGCTTAAAGGAGCTGATGGAGCTGAAAACCAAGGCTCGAGAACTACATGAAGAATGCAGAAGCCTCAGGAGCCGATGTGATCAACTGGAAGAAAGGGTATCAGCAATGGAAGATGAAATGAATGAAATGAAGGGAGAAGGGAAGTTTAGAGAAAAAAGAATAAAAAGAAACGAGCAAAGCCTCCAAGAAATATGGGACTATGTGAAAAGACCAAATCTACATCTGATTGGTGTACCTGAAAGTGATGGGGAGAATGGAACCAAGTTGGAAAACACTCTGCAGGATATTATCCAGGAGAACTTCCCCAATCTAGCAAGGCAGGCCAACGTTCAGATTCAGGAAATACAGAGAATGCCACAAAGATACTCCTCGAGAAGAGCAACTCCAAGACACATAATTGTCAGATTCACCAAAGTTGAAATGAAGGAAAAAATATTATAGGCAGCCAGAGAGAAAGGTCAGGTTACCCTCAAAGGGAAGCCCATCAGACTAACAGCGGATCTCTCGGCAGAAACCCTACAAGCCAGGAGAGAGTGGGGGCCAATATTCAACATGCTTAAAGAAAACAATTTTCAACCCAGAATTTCATATCCAGCCAAACTAAGCTTCATAAGTGAAGGAGAAACAAAATACTTTACAGACAAGCAAATGCTGAGAGATTTTGTCACCACCAGGCCTGCCCTAAAAGAGCTCCTGAAGGAAGCGCTAAACATGGAAAGGAACAACCGGTACCAGCCACTGCAAAATCATGCCAAAATGTAAACACCATCAAGACTAGGAAGAAACTGCATCAACTAACGAGCAAAATAACCAGCTAACATCATAATGACAGGATCAAATTCACACATAACAATATTAACTTTAAATGTAAATGGACTAAACGCTCCAATTAAAAGACACAGACTGGCAAATTGGATAAAGAGTCAAGACCCATCAGTGTGCTGTATTCAGGAAACCCATCTCACGTGCAGAGACACACATAGGCTCAAAATAAAAGGATGGAAGAAGATCTACCAAACAAATGGAAAACAAAAAAAGGCAGGGGTTGCAATCCTAGTCTCTGATAAAACAGACTTTAAACCTACAAAGATCAAAAGAGACAAAGAAGGCCATTACATAATGGTAAAGGGATCAATTCAACAAGAAGAGCTAACTATCCTAAATATATATGCACCCAATACAGGAGCACCCAGATTCGTAAAGCAAGTCCTGAGTGACCTACAAAGAGACTTAGACTCCCACACATTAATAATGGGAGACTTCAACACCCCACTGTCAACATTAGACAGATCAACGAGACAGAAAGTCAACAAGGATACCCAGGAATTGAACTCAGCTCTGCACCAAGCAGACCTAATAGACATCTACAGAACTCTCCACCCCAAATCAACAGAATATACATTTTTTTCAGCACCACACCACACCTATTCCAAAATTGACCACATACTTGGAAGTAAAGCTCTCCTCAGCAAATGTGAAAGAACAGAGATTATAACAAACTATCTCTCAGACCACAGTGCAATCAAACTAGAACTCAGGATTAAGAATCTCACTCAAAACCGCTCAACTACATGGAAACTGAACAACCTGCTCCTGAATGACTACTGGGTACATAACGAAATGAAGGCAGAAATAAAGATGTTCTTTGAAACCAATGAGAACAAAGACACAACATACCAGAATCTCTGGGATGCATTCAAAGCAGTGTGTAGAGGGAAATTTATAGCACTAAATGCCCACAAGAGAAAGCAGGAAAGATCCAAAATTGACACCCTAACATCACAATTAAAAGAACTAGAAAAGCAAGAGCAAACACATTCAAAAGCTAGCAGAAGGCAAGAAATAACTAAAATCAGAGCAGAACTGAAGGAAATAGAGACACAAAAAACCTTTCAAAAAATTAATGAATCCAGGAGCTGGTTTTTTGAAAGGATCAACAAAATTGATAGACCGCTAGCAAGACTAATAAAGAAAAAAAGAGAGAAGAATCAAATAGACACAATAAAAAATGATAAAGGGGATATCACCACCAATCCCACAGAAATACAAACTACCATCAGAGAATATTACAAACACCTCTACGCAAATAAACTAGAAAATCTAGAAGAAATGGATAAATTCCTCGACACAAACACCCTCCCAAGACTAAACCAGGAAGAAGTTGAATCTCTGAATAGACCAATAACAGGATCTGAAATTGTGGCAATAATCAATAGTTTACTAACCAAAAAGAGTCCAGGACCAGATGGATTCACAGCCGAATTCTACCAGAGGTACAAGGAGGAACTGGTACCATTCCTTCTGAAACTATTCCAATGAATAGAAAAAGAGGGAATCCTCCCTAACTCATTTTATGAGGCCAGCATCATTCTGATACCAAAGCTGGGCAGAGACACAACCAAAAAAGAGAATTTTAGAACAATATCCTTGGTGAACATTGATGCAAAAATCCTCAATAAAATACTGGCAAAACGAATCCAGCAGCACGTCAAAAAGCTTATCCACTATGATCAAGTGGGCTTCATCCCTGGGATGCAAAGCTGGTTCAATATACGCAAATCAATAAATGTAATCCAGCATATAAAGAGAGCCAAAGACAGAAACCACATGATTATCTCAATAGATGCAGAAAAAGCCTTTGACAAAATTCAACAACCCTTCATGCTAAAAACTCTCAATAAATTAGGTATTGATGGGACGTATTTCAAAATAATAAGAGTTATCTATGACAAACCCACAGCCAATATCATACTAAATGGGCAACAACTGGAAGCATTCCCTTTGAAAACTGGCACAAGACAGGGATGCCCTCCCTCACCACTCCTGTTCAACATAGTGTTGGAAGTTCTGGCCAGGGCAATTAGGCAAGAGAAGGAAATAAAGGGTATTCAATTAGGAAAAGAGGAAGTCAAATTGTCCCTGTTTGCAGACCACATGATTGTATATCTAGAAAACCCCATTGTCTCAGCCCAAAATCTCCTTAAGCTGATAAGCAACTTCAGCAAAGTCTCAGGATACAAAATCAATGTACAAAAATCACAAGCATTCTTATACACCAACAACAGACAAACAGAGAGCCAAATCATGAGTGAACTCCCATTCACAATTGCTTCAAAGAGAATAAAATACCTAGGAATCCAACTTACAAGGGATGTGAAGGACCTCTTCAAGGAGAACTACAAACCACTGCTCAAGGAAATAAAAGAGGATACAAACAAATGGAAGAACATTCCATGCTCATGGGTAGGAAGAATCAATATCGTGAAAATGGCCATACTGCCCAAGGTAATTTATAGATTCAATGCCATCCCCATCAAGTTACCAATGCCTTTCTTCACAGAATTGGAAAAAACTACTTTAAGGTTCATATGGAACCAAAAAAGAGCCTGCATCGCCAAGGCAATCCTAAGCCAAAAGAACAAAGCTGGAGGCATCACACTACCTGACTTCAAACTATACTACAAGGCTACAGTAACCAAAACAGCATGGTACTGGTACCAAAACAGAGATATAGATCAATGCAACAGAACAGAGCCCTCAGAAATAACGCTGCATATCTGCAACTATCTGATCTTTGACAAACCTGAGAAAAACAAGCAATGGGGAAAGGATTCCCTATTTAATAAATGGTGCTGGGAAAACTGACTAGCCATATTTAGAAAGCTGAAACTGGATCCCTTCCTTACACCTTATACAAAAATCAATTCAAGATGGATTAAAGACTTAAACGTTAGACCTAAAATGATAAAAACCCTAGAAGAAAACCTAGGCATTACCATTCAGGACATAGGCATGGGCAAGGACTTCATGTCGAAAACACCAAAAGTCATGGCAACAAAAGCCAAAATTGACAAATGGGATCTAATTAAACTAAAGAGCTTCTGCACAGCCAAAGAAACTACCATCAGAGTGAACAGGCAACCTACAAAATGGGAGAAAATTTTCGCAACCTATTCATCTGACAAAGGGCTAATATCCAGAATCTACAATGAACTCAAACAAATTTACAAGATAAAAACAAACAACCCCATCAAAAAGTGGGCGAAGGACATGAACAGACACTTCTCAAAAGAAGACATTTATGCAGCAAAAAAACACATGAAAAAATGCTCATCATCACTAGCCATCAGAGAAATGCAAATCAAAACCACAATGAGATACCATCTCACACCAGTTAGAATGGCAATCATTAAAAAGTCAGGAAACAACAGGTGCTGGAGAGGATATGGAGAAATAGGAACACTTTTACACTGTTGGTGGGACTGTAAACTAGTTCAACCATTGTGGAAGTCAGTGTGGCGATTCCTCAGGGATCTAGAACTAGAAATACCATTTGACCCAGCCATCCCATTACTGGGTATATACCCAAAGGACTCTAAATCATGCTGCTATAAAGACACATGCACACGTATGTTTATTGCGGCATTATTCACTACAGCAAAGACTTGGAACCAACCCAAATGTCCAACAATGATAGACTGGATTAAGAAAATGTGGCACATATACACCCTGGAATACTATGCAGCCATAAAAAATGATGAGTTCATGTCCTTTGTAGGGACATGGATGAAATTGGAAATCATCATTCTCAGTAAACTATTGCAAGAACAAAAAACCAAACACCGCGTATTCTCACTCATAGGTGGGAATTGAACAATGAGATCACATGGACACAGGAAGGGGAATATCACACTCTGGGGACTGTGGTGGGTGGGGGGAGGGTGGAGGGATAGCATTGGGAGATATACCTAATGCTAGATGACGAGTTAGTGGGTGCAGTGCACCAGCATGGCACATGTATACATATGTAACTAACCTGCACAATGTGCACATGTACCCTAAAACTTAAAGTATAATTAAAAAAATAAAAAAAATAAAAAATAAAAATAAAAATAAAAAGTTTTATTGGAAAAAAAAAAATCTGACACTAATTATAAGCTGAGTGATGCTGCTAAATCTTTCCTTCCAAAACAATGTTCCATACACAAACATTTGAAAATAAAATCAGGAAGAAATAATCATCCACAATTATTTTTTGCAAGCACTTTTTAAATGAATAACTATCATTAACTATCATAATTAATATGTAAAAAGTTATGCTCTTCATTAATAATTTCTTAAATTTGGGGTAACAATCAAAATATACAATGATAAATAACCCAAAAAAAAAAAAAAAGAGTTTACCTTGCACTCAATTTTTGGACAACTATCACCCTGTTCACATTGGTTCCTTATTTTATAAATATGGAATTAGTATTTTAACTTTTAATGAAGATTATATATTTATCATTTATAGAAATCTAGAAAAGTCATTAACTGTAGGTCTTAATTTCCACATCTGTAAAATAAATATGCTGGACATTTTTCATGATGATGGTGAGATGGAGTCCCCAGCATCTGTGGGAAGTTGGATGAAAGTTGGCATGACAAATTAATTTTATTATGGCAAACATCTCTTGAATTTTTTATAGAGACAACATTCATTGAGACTTAAGCATAGATTTAAAATGAGAAGAATGCAAAATCAACTACACAATTATTATAAAATTCCAAAACTGATTGCTATGATTGCCCTATATCCTCTATCACAGTACATATCTCTTTGACCTACTTCCAGCATTCCTGAGATAATTATTTATGAAACATATGCATGGAATATAAACATTTGAATCAACCACATAAAATCATTCTAGGCAAACAAAGT
Source organism: Homo sapiens (assembly GCF_000001405.40). Classification (NCBI taxonomy): domain Eukaryota; kingdom Metazoa; phylum Chordata; class Mammalia; order Primates; family Hominidae; genus Homo; species Homo sapiens. The sequence goes on along the minus strand of NC_000007.14, from coordinate 85,328,882 downwards.
CATTTTGGATAAAAATAATTTATGTGTGTTTAACCACTGTAGGTGAAATCACGGATGCTGTGCCCATGATCCTTGTAAACAAATAGGAAATACTTGTTTTCACATAGTCCTATCTAAACTCAGACTTCCCCACTTGAACAAGTGATGCAGGCTGGCTGTGTTTATCCTATCACTGTATATAATTTTTTGTATAATTGTCACTTTACATATCGTCATTATTTGTTTACTTTTTAGTCTGACCCACTAAGTGGTAAGCTTCTCAGAACCATATTATTATTTTCCATTATTTATTTAAGGCAGCCATGAAATTACTCCATCCAAGCATATGCCAAAAGAATTTTTTTAGAAGTGTTTTTTATTTGTTGCGCAAATTTTGCTTGTAAGTTAGAAAGTGTTTTAAATAATTACTCTAACAATATATTTTAAAAATATCCTCTTAGTGAGAGTTATTCTGTTAAAAAAAATGCCACAAATAAAACAGTTGAAATTGGTTCCTTTAGTCTTCTTGAACATAAAAAGGAGGTAAGTTCAATCAGATATAAAATGACATTATTTTCTTTTGTGAAAGCTCAGATGTAGTACTTGTTCCAAGTGCCATATGTCATATTGGGAAAAAAATTTGTTAACAAATATGCTGCTCCTTAAGGAAAACACCTGAAATAACATTGCTTTACACTGGCGTAAAGGTAATCCCTCTAATTTTCTTTAGGAACTGATTTTCTATAAATTTAGTAGGAAAAAAATGTTAGGATGATGTTATTGACAGAGTAAGACTTCACATGTCTTCATGTAAAGCCAATGGAGATAAATGGGGTTCAGGCCAGAAGAGTGGTGAATATTAGCAAGTAAAAAAAGCAAAAACTTTACTTTTTTTCACTTTGTAATAAGCCAAATATTTTATCAACTTTTTATAATTTTTAGTAATATGATTTTGATAAGAACTGTGGCAAATATTAGCCATTAAAGTATTATGCTGATTTTTTTCTACATTTATGTTTGTCAATCAAGCTCTGTCTTTTCAATTATGATAAGATTAAGAAGGTTAGAAGTCATAATATATTAAAAGTCTTTCCTGAATTTTAGTTCAATTATCCTTCATTATGAGAGTAACTTCTGAAATATCTTTCAACTTCTGAATTGCCTCAGTTTTGCCAATTGAAAAGGTTAAATGGAATGCGAACTGCTAAAAGAGAATATATTACTGTCTTGCAAAGAATATGAACAGAAAAAAACCTGCAAATAACCATGTTTGATTAATAGATGAATTGATCGATACATTGTTAAGACACTGTTGGTATCTTAACTCAATAAAATGTTGAGATTATTTAGAGTCTGTCATTGAGTCTCATTTTTTTTCACTTTATAAACCCTCACTAAGTTATTTGTACATTCCAATCATTTAAGCTGCTAAATACACATATGAATGACTATACGAATCTCTGATCGTATTAATCCATAATGTTCAACATTTATGAATTACAATACTTGTTGCAATGTCTCCTAGGCACTCAAATCTCAACATGTCTCATGCTGAACTCAAAAATTCTTTCTCTTGAAATCTATTTGTTTTCTTGTATTCACTCATTGTCTGTTTAGATGTCTGTTTTACCAAAGTATAAGCTTGTTGAGTGCAAAATCTGTTATTGTATTTACTTTACCTCTATGTATAGCCAACACCAGAACATTGATAAAATGAATAAACATTGAAATGATAGTCTAGAAACAATCCAATCCTGTAGCCTCAAACTCATCATGGTATTTCCTCATTGCATTGCTTCTGATTCATCAGTTACTTTGAGTGTTTCATTTGTTTTTCTTAATTGTTGTTTTACTGAGCCCGGGTCAAGGAATATTAAGGTGAATTAAAAAGTGACAGTGGTATTATGCGTATTGCTTGGTGAAATAGACTAATTTTGGCATGATCTTTGTCAAACCTGAGGAGATCTGTGGCCTGGAAATCTAAGATTAAAGTCAAACTGTCATGTGGGGATCAAGACAATGATGGGATTGGGGCTTTTCTGGAGCAAAGAGCCCAAATGGTAAAAAACAACAGCCAAATTAAAAAATAATGAGATATAAATTCAGCGTTTACAAATTAATTGCTATGTAAGACAGGGTGAATCATAAAAGTTCTTCCAGAGAGAGGTATTTTCTCTATGAGAAGATGCCTTCATGACATCATGGAATTGTAGGAACTACATCTCTGGATAGAGGACATGTGTGTTTATATCTTAACTATGAGTAGTTTTATCAAGAGACATTACTTAAATAGCTTTTCTCTACTGATACATCTTGTGCTTTATATAAAATATACTTTCCTTAATATGTACATTATTACAGAGAGATGATACTCGGAACATAGGCTTCTGTCATAGGAAGTGCACATCATTAGAGGGTATAATTCGTGCCAGAGGAGTTGACCATTGAAAACCTTAAAATACATTTCTTGAGATATGCTCTTATAACGTTGTATTTGCATGTATACATAAACTTTTTCTCCCTAGGGAAAAACAACATTTTTTTTTAAATTACTGTGAACGTGAGTGATATTCATTTTAATAAAATCTTATAATTCATCATTTTTTAACATCTTTAATATTCATAAACTACAGTTGTTATCCTTTTCTAAGATGATGTATCTCCATGACTGATGTAAGGACCTTGAGTGAAATCAAGACTTTTCAAACGATATATAGCCAATTCCCCGTTTTCTGTGTGCAAATATTATACAAGTATTCTCTGAGGATTTGAAATATTTTCTAATGTATTTGTAGTTTTCCTTTCCAAGACTTACATTTAATTTTGGAGTTTGAAATGTTCTCAATTAATCTTGTTCAGGGTACATTTTGAATTAAGTAGATACTTGTTTGTATATTTTTTAAAATGAATGTGCTTTATGTACTAGTACTTTGATCACACACAAATAATTGCAGCAAATAAAATAAGGTGGTGGGGACAGAGAAACAATCTCACATTTGAATCTTGTTTAAATAGTAAAAAAAGTCCTGGAAAGCATGTTATGCATTTGCCATGGGAAAAGGCATCATAATTTGAAATGTTATCTCATAAGCCTAACTTTCATATTGCATGTGCTGTACATTTTGATTTTTTAACTGCAGAAATAAAACAGCAAATTTTTTTCTTTTAAAGAGCACATATTTGAAATATACATTTTAGCAGAAAAACAACTAAATTTATAGGCACCATGCAAGGAAGCCACTGCGGCTGTATACATGCTAAAAACGCAGTTAACCAAGCTAGAGCTGCACTTGTGGATGAGTTCCTTTAATTGTCTCAAGTAAGAGATGTAAGTAATAGACTGTGCATCATCAAAGGAAAAAGACAACTTAGTTTGAGAATTAGGAAAACAATTTTTATGGAGTATTTGTCTTTACATTTGTATATGAAAAATACCAACAAACACCTGACCGTTATTTTTCCTTTTCACAAGAAATGCTATTTTAATAAAAATGTTTATTCTACAAGTTTTTTAAAAAATAATTTCTATATTTCATTCATTTATACATAAAAATAAATGAACTCTTATTCTTCACCAAAATCCTAAATAATAATAGAATAAATGTGAATTATAAAAATTACTTTCAACACTAAATCATAAGATTATTTGTCTAGAAAACTGTCATTTGATTGTACTATAAGGGTACTATAAAATCAATTTATAAGACCTTAAGAAAATTAAAAGTCCAAGGAAAAGAGTTCTCTGTCAACTTGCCACTAGCATTCCCAGGTATCAGGTGACATCAATTTAGTCTCCAAATTTAAAAGGACAAAGGAGCAAAAAAGTAATCTTTAAGATCACTCATAGTAGCACCAAAATTCAGACCATACTAATATGTGTGTGACTAACAGTAACTAACTAATAGCAACTGACTCAGCCCCAAAACGAACACCCCAGTAAACTATTGTCATTACTGAAAATCTCCCTAGTATAATTTTATTTACCCAGATACTACATTAAGCCAGTACAGCTGTAGCTTAATATTAGAGTAAGAGGGATTTAAGGATTCTCATAAAAAGAGAAGAGAAATCAGGTTCTGGTGTAAGTTTGTGTCCCATGAAAGAGATCAGTGGGCTCCCCTGGCCAAAGAAGCATTCTCTGGAGTGGCTGATAGGGGGCCATGTGGACATTCAATTAAATAGATAAGGTACAGAAGATCAGAACTGCTGTGACAGTTGATACTCAGGCTGGTAAATGTAATTGTCATTTATCCATAGGCAACATGTTCTCAGCCACCAGCCTGGGCTATAAGACTTGAATAGTGGGATAGAGTTTTATGGTTGACTGATAAGATCAGCTAGGAAATAGAGCTGCCCAACTACTAAATTTGAGCCTCAGCTCTAACACTGCACTACAGAAAGCAGAGTTTCTAGCTAAAATTAAAGAGTTTAGCATAAAGTGGGAGTTCAATTTTATGACTTGCACAAACGTGGTAGTCAAGGGTATTAAGAGAGAGATATATAATTTGTGACAATATGAATGTTTGTGCTTCAGTTCTAATGAGTCATAGCGTAACTCATCTGCTACAAGTAGGGCACCGGATCTCATGTGTTGTGGTGTATTATATCTAAATCAACAGGTATAAAAATGCCAGCTATAGTGTTTCATGGCAAGTTAAATAATCTCTGTAAGTCCTACCTTTCCTTCAACAAATATAAAAGAGTAAAAAAGAATTGTATTTTAAGTCTCAGTGCAGACTATTCGATGGCATTCAACAAATGTTAGCTCTCAATTGGCTTGGCACAGAAAATAGAAATCAATTCCTGACTTAAAGCAGGACTGTCTAGGGACTGGAGCTTGATTAGGCTCCACCTGATTGATACGGGACACGTGAATGGATTAATCTAGTTTAAAGAAGCCAAGGAATGCAAAAGCAAGAGACTGCAGAGAAAGTTGATTATTATTTGTCACTAGTCCCTTTCCATGAAGAAATGTACTACTTCCCCTTCCACTGGGAGATAAGATCTGATGATGTAGTACAGGCCGTGTGGTATTGAAGAACATGAAATTCATGAATCTGAAAAAGAGCACAGGCTCAAATCAAGAAGTTTTGAAATTATTGGCAGGTGGAGTTTGAGGAGAAAGTATGGAATATAACTAGGTCACGTACTAAAAAGAAAGATACAGAAAGATATCTCAAATTTTCACTTACATTGAGGTCTCAAGAAGAGATTGAGAGCTGAAAAAAAGTCAATTCCATTAGTGTAAGTGTGTGGAGAGTATGAAAAGGACACATTTTACTTTTGTCAAAATTGTCAAGGGCCTATGAAAAAAAATGTCTCTTTAGTTAACAATGTGTGTGTGAAAAGGAACTAAATAGATGTGAAAGTACTCTGCCATACTAGGTGATATGAGACATACAGGCCAAGCTGCTTGGGTCCCAAAAGATGCATGGCTGAAGGCAAAGATAACAAAAATAAATTCTTTGGAAAACAGATGGTAATAGTGGGATAGTATGATGAAAGAACCTATGCATGCGAGAAAGGAGAAACCATAAAGAAGGGAAAGTGGGCCCGGCGCGGTAGCTCACGCCTGTAATGCCAGCACTTTGGGAGGCTGAGGCGGGCAGATCACGAGGTCAGGAGATTGAGACCATCCTGGCTCACACGGTGAAACCCCGTCTCCACTAAAAATACAAAAATGAGCCGGGCATTGTGGCGGGCGGCTGTAGTCCCAACTACTCGGGAGGCTGAGGCAGGAGAATGGCGTGAACCCGGGAGGCGGAGCTTGCAGTGAGCCGAGATGGCACCACTGCACTCCAGCCTGGGCAACAGAGCGAGACTCCATCTCAAAATAAATAAATAAATAAATAAATAAATAAATAAATAAATAAATAAATAAGAAAGGAAAGTGAAATGGAGGATTAAAAATTTTAATTAAAGTTAAATATGTTTATTACTCCAAACCATCTGCTTTTTAAAATATTGCTTGAATGTATGAAATGTAATAGAAATTATAAAAATTTATACCATAAGAAATGTAACAGCTTTCTATAGTTATTTTATTAATATTTTCTGCCTCTGAGACTACTAAATTTATTTTTAAATGGAAAATTAGGGAGCCATGGTTAGTTCTTTGCAAAAAACCCCACCTTCATATAATCCAAAAGAATAAAAATCTGGCATATAGCTCTTTTGATTATGTACACATATTTTGATTAATGAGCAATCACAGTTGTCTCATAAACTGGGAAATGTATATATCATAGAGTCCCAAGACACTCTCCATATTTTAAAGGTAAAAAGCAGAATTCCATATTTTCTCAGCCAACGCATTTGACACCCACAAGCTTTACTCTCCGACAAAATGAACATTTTACAAGCTCCATCCTTCTCTTAGATGCATTACTCATTACCTCTGTCTTGCTTTCTCCTGATAGATGGCCCTAGGTCACAATCGGACATCAAATCAGTTGGGAGGTGAGTCAACATCCCAATCAACACAATTTTACAACTTCTCCAGTGACTGTCTGGGCATGCTGAGAGTCCTAAAAAGTTGCTTTTTCTCCTACATACTTTAAAGTGACTTTAAGTGTGTTATCACAACACTATCAGTATCATGAAGTCAAGGTTTGTTCGTTTTAGTGAAGTACATACTTTGTAATGCTCTGAAGTATCTTAAGAATATTATTGAAGACTTTGGTTCCTTCAGGCTCTCAGAATGACATGTACCTTGGCTGAACTTTGAAATAAATTCTTCATTTATCACTGTTTTACTGCATCTTTTTATTTTTGTTGGTTTCTCTCACAAGTATGATTTCGCTTTGATCTTCCCACACTTTGTGTCCGCATTGAAATTTATAGAGTATAAGCCTCAATTTTTTCTTCCTTTAAGATAGGCTTGACAACTTAGTGCCAGCATATTTCTCTTCTACATGAAAAAAAGGTAACTAATACCAGGTATCTGATCCTGGTGTTTGCTTTCTTTCCAAATTTTTAAGAAAGTTTCTTTAATACTTCCCACTTAAAGCCATCTACTAAGAATATAAGAAAAAACTACAATTTACATTTTCATTATTTATTCCAGAAATTCTGGACTTTCAACACCATGAGATTTACTAGTGAGTAACATTATTTTTCCTCTCATTGAGATACTTATTTAAAAAGTCAACAATTACTATTTTTCTTCCATCTCAACCCATCATCTTTGACAATCTATATATATTCCAGCCCACTCTCCATAAACAGGGTAATTCATAGTGAGAGGGAAAGGATTCTTTGACATTCAGTTTCACCCCAATTGATAATTTTCTGATCTCATTGATGGTTCCCATCTATTGATTTATCTCTCTTTTTAATTCATTTTTCTCCCTCCCTCTCTCCTTGTCTTCCTTTCTTCTTACCTTTCTTCCTTCCTTCTCTCCTTATTAAATGTTTATCTTCTACTATGTTTTAGCCTCTAGGCTAAGCGCTGGTGATATAGAAATGAAGACTCTGAAGTCCCATATCTGAGAAATTCAGCAGAGATTACAGGCTATGAGGTAAGATTGGACAGGGACTGTCATACAAGGAAGAGCACATGAGAGGGGAATTTTTAGCAGTACTGCTTGCCAGTTCCACTTAGCATTTGCAGCTATCTGGCAGGATCCAGATAGCAGTCAGTGGTGATAGCTCTGTTAGTGGGGATGGTTACTAAGTGAGCTTTTAGTGGTCAGTCTTTCCATCAGCAGTGGCTTACAACAATAACTTTGATACTCACAGAAACGTTTCCCATGACTTGCTAACCTTCATCACTGGATTAATCCAAAATTATCTTCTATAGAACAGCCTATGGCAGAATTCAATTCTTGCTGACCCTTTAAGTGGCAACTATGGTCTTAATCGGCTCTTCTGAAGAAGAGTTTCTTAAGCACTGATTTAAAGCACAACATAGCATTAGGGAAGCACAGCACTATAGAATCACACAGTCACATTTGAATAATTCACCTTAAATATCACTCCTTGTGCCCTTGACATAAAGTGAATTCTCATAGTCTCAAGGGATTTCTGATAATTGTGTTGCAACACACTCAACTGAAAAAAATAAATCACAGAGAGTGCCACTTATCTTCATGCTCTGTGAAATCCAATCCCCACAACTGAATCTTTCAAAAGCTGAGCCCCAAGAATTCAAGAACCTTTACCAATTGTGTGTGGTAGATGGAAATGTGGATTACATAGAGAATTTGGGATTCTCTATGGAAGCAAATACTGACTAAACATTTGCTAAAATGCTGCTTTTCAAATAAAAACATATCAATATTAATGCTTCTCAGAAAGTACTAAGAACGAAATTGAAGATGAGATAGAAAGCAATAGAGCACTAATCAAATATTCAACAATAGGTTGGCACAGTGGCTCACGCCTGTGATTCCAGCACTTTGGGAGGCCAAAGCTGGTAGATCACTTGCAGCCAGGCATTCCAAGACTAGCCTGGCCAACACAGTCTCTACTAAAAATGCAAAAGAACTAGCCAGGTGTGGTGGCAGGCCTCTGTAATCCCAGCTACTCGGGAGGTTGAGGCAGGAGGATTGCTTGAACCCAGGAAGTAGAGATTGCAGTGAGCCAAGTTCATGCACTCCAGCCTGGGTGACACAGCAAGACTCTGTCCCAAAACAAACAAACAAACAACAAGCAAACAAACACCAAATATTCAGCAATAAAAATAATAGCAACTATTCCTACCCATAGCACTCAACTGTATATAGATTACCTCATTCAAACCTCAAAACATCCTTATGGGTCTAGAAAAATTATTATGACCATTTAACAAGGACAAGCTGAGGCTTAGAATGGAATAATAGTACTAATTATTTGATGAATTTTTATTAAAGTATAGTAGCATTGGTATTATGCCTGCACAGTTAGTGTATTTGACAAAAGTCCCCAATATTTTCATGTGTTATAAGCTTCAGGAGCAGATTTTAAAAATTATTTTTCATAACACCCTTCAAAATTTTATTTTCTTAAGTCAGTGGTTTACAAATTACGGTATGTGGCCCGCCAACTTTTATTGATCTATCACAAGATAAGCCAAAATGGTAGTTATATACTGTAAATGTTTATAGCAATGAGACATTACCCCCAAATCTGCCTAATCATTTATCTAGTAGTTAATTTTTATCATGTTTTACAAAAGTTAAAACAGCAACAACAACCAAGAACCTGCTCCACAGATCATTTGGGAGACACAGACTTACTTAAGTTACACATGAAAAATAAACTTCAATTGAGACTCTGATAACTCACGTGTCAACTTACATATATAGAACTCACATAAGTGAGATATTTCCTTTGATATTTTTAAGGGGAATTTAAATGTACTTTCAACATATAAGCTGTATTACTTCTGAAGTTTCTAAATATGCAACATGAAGAAATTAGATCACATATTTTTAGGTTTTTTGTCACTCTCTAGTCTAATGACTCTAAGACTTATAGGAAGGAGAAGACAGAAGAAAATGGTCCTTAAAATCTGGTTTACAAGAACCCCTAAAAAGCTCACAGTAAAATTTCAGAGTTTCACATATTTGCCACATTTATAACAATTAACTTTTGCTTCCTTTATATATGGTTTGGATTATTTTTCATATAAAGCATCTCCATGCTATCATCAGAACGACTGTCACACGTAGCATTCACTATGGTATTTTGTTGATTTGGGGGAAATGTAAATTAGTAGGCTATACATGTTAGAGATGTATATTCATAAATCAGGTTTAAGACTACTGACCTTTCTCATAATGCCTACTGTTCTTTTAAGCTTGATGTTATCTAATACCCCATGTGTTTAACATGATGCCTACCACAAAAAAAGTAGATAAGTAGATAATATAATATGCATCCACATTCCATTTATTCTTGGAATATAAATTGCTGGCAGGAAAGTGAAAGGATAATTAAACAAATATCTCCCAATTGCAAGGGGTTCCTACAAAATTCAAGGTAAGAAAAATCACCTTTGAAAAGATTGACTAGAATTGCTAAATCTTACATCTTTATCAACTTTATAAATATGTCACAATATGATTTGTCCAAACATTACTACCCACTAAAAATTCTATAAATGCTTTAAGACAAAACAAGAGCACTAGCATACAAAATTAAAGTCTGAATAAGTGAGAACAAGCAGTGTTTGGTTTTCTGTTCCTGTGTCAGTTTGCTGAGGATAATGGCTTCCAGTTTCATCCACGTCCCTGCAAATGACATGATCTCAAATCCTTTTAAGTCTACATAATATTCCATGGTGTATATATACAACATTTTATTTATCCTGGACACAGGGAGGGGAACAACACACACTGGGGCCTGTCAGTGGGTAGGGCTGGGGGAGGGAAAGCATTAGGAAAAATAGCTAATGCATACAGGGCTTAATACTTAGGTGATGGGTTGATAGGTGCAGCAAACCTCCATGGCACATGTTTACCTATGTAACAAACCTGCACATCCTCCACAGGTACCCCAGAACTAAAAATAATAACTAAAATAAAAAAGAATAAGGATAAATTACATTTTACTCAACTTATATTAAAATATTCAATTTCAATGTATCACTTTTATTCAAAATAAAATTTTAAAATTCACCTGTTCTACAATTTTGACAAGCTACATATAGTCTCATATTTTTGTCAAAGTAAACACATATTTTATTCCATGGCTTAATGTCTATCAATAAATTCAATGGCTTTCTGATTTTATGAATCAGATGTATAAGTTCCTGCTTCCCTTCTTTGCACCTTCCACCATATCCACCTACATATGTCTGTCTCACAAATGTCACAAATTTGCAAATCTAAGCAAGATTTACTTTTTGTCATCTTCCTTCAGTCTTTAAAAAACGGTGTGGTATACACTTCTACTTTTTTGTGTGTGCTGTCAATATTTCAGATCTTAACTTTTTGTGATCCCTATTGTCTTCTTATTTTAATGATCTCCATGTATAGTGAGTCACAATTTATACAATATGCAAATACAAGGACCAGACTTACTCCATCTGTCAAATAGGCACAAAGAAGAGAACTCTCTGCTATGAACTGATTGTGTCATCTTGAAATTCATATGTTGAAGCCTGTTTCCAAGTGTGATGGTATATGGAGATGGAATCTTTTGGGGGGTAATTAGGTCATGAGTGTGAAACCCTTAGGAGTGGGATTATTGCCCTTAGAAGGGCACATGCAAGAGAGCTTGCTCTCCCTTTTTCTGCTATCCAACATGTGAGGGTACAATGAGAGAACAGCCATCCACGAAACAGAAAGAGCTCCTTCTGCAAGAGTCAAATCATGCTGGAACCCTGACTTCATGCTTCCAACCTCCAGAACTGTGAGAAATAAATGTCTGATGTTTAAGGCACCCAATTTATGCTATTCTGTTACGGCAGCCCAAATGGACTAAGACACTCTAATTACAATAATTCACAAAAGGGGAATGATAGTTGAAGAGAAATTTACCTTACCTTTTGAGTAGTAATAGCACTTTTAGAACACTACATAAATTTTGATTTTATTTATTTTCTTCATAGCCTTCGACACAAAATTTATAAATGTCAAATATTATTAGGAGCTCAACTATCCATAATACTGCATTTAAAATAAAGAAATACAATAGACCATGAGAAAAAAAAAATAGGGGTTTCTATTCTGTTTCTCAGGATCTTTTGGTGACTGAAATAATTGACAAATTCTATTCTGATTCTATGAGTGTCTAACATACTAATATATATATGATCTGGCCTATATTGCTATTTATAAATATATAGCTAAGCCCTCAAACTAAATCTGTGATTGACATTAAATTATTTTGTAATTTACATATGTGTACTCCCATGCTAAGAGCTACTAAGTGATTGAGAGGTGGTTTATCGACAGATAGAAATCATATGGCTCATCATATTTGTATTCCTTCATATATATATATATATATATATATATATACTCTTCAGATATGTTTTAAACTTTAATTTCAAAAACTGTCATTTATCATTATTTCATAGCCATTGGGAAATTTAATTATAACCTAAGCATTTTATGATGGAAAGTATCTGGTATCAATAAGTGCTTATGAAAACAAATGGAGTCATGTTGGTGGAAATCATTTACCGATGCAGAAGGATTCAAAATCTTCAACTACAGAAGCATAATTAAATTAAACATACTGAATAGTTTTACATACTAGACAATAATTTCTAGCACTGGAACATATTAAGAGGATGGCTGGAATAGCTCACTGTCTATTTTTTCAAAGGACATTAAAAGTGACAGAAATCCTGAAACATAACTTGGCTCCTTTTTAGATTGTAATAAAATAGAACTACCGGTTGCTCAGATATTTACTGAAGAGTAATTGTAGCTTCTGTTTCAAATTGTAATTATTTTCCTATCCTTGAACAGCCTGGAAAAGAAAAAAAACTCTTTTATAAAAAACAGAAGATTGCCTTAAAGTAAAAATCTCAATTTACACTTATTATCGATATGATTTTTATTTCTGATATTAAAATCAATTTATGAATAAGTCAATAATAGAGGATTTTTAGTCTTAGAGACACTGAAAATATCTGGAGACTTTTAAGTTTCAAAGCGTTTGTCAGCTGAGGCCATTTAACACAGATTTAAGCAGGCTGGCTTTCTGAGCTTCCTAAGGAGAAATAATGTTTCAATGGATGTAAAACATGTGTTTTGGTGAAAAAATAATCACTCCATTAATGAGGATGGTAACTTTAGATCATGGAGCCTAGAAGTCAAAGCTTAAATTTGCCTAAGGTTTATTCAGTGTGCCAGCCATTCCTGCACTTGCTTTTGTAGAATTCTAATTTGAGTTACAAAGTGAATTATGCTTCCACCGGTACAGTGACAGAGGACATGAGAGAATGTGTTTGGTCATGGATGGCGTGAAACCTAAGGATGTCCCTTCTCCAGAAATAAAACATGATCCTGTCATAGGTAAAAGAGTTCCTAAAATGAGGGGATAAATGGGGAGGAAGGAAGGAAAGGGAAGTAAGGGAAATTCTCTGGCCTTTCAAAGTAGAGAGAGGTCAAATTTAAATTTCTTCAACATTCTTTAACAATCCAAGGTCTTTATTCTCCGAGGCAGTGGTCAAAATGAGAAAAAAAAAATTGGAAAAAGAATCCGGCTGCGGTATTCATTTTTAACCCAAAGTAAATAATCATTGAGCAGAAGTTTCTTTTCCACATATTGCTGGCTTTCAACATATATACACATATAATGAAGAGCACGTGAAAGAAAGCATGGTGTAGCCCTCAGCAGTCAAGCCAACACCTCTGTGGTTCTGGATTTTGATCCAGTGGCCACTGCTTACTGCTCACACGATAATACTAAAAATGACTAAAAATCACTTCTATATTTTACAGAACCTTGTTTTCATAAAAGCCATAGAATCTCCTAAGCAATAATTACTTAAAATATCTTATGGTTTTACATAGTTAAACTTACCCAAACCATCACAAACTACCTCAGCCCTTGGCAACTGTTGACATTTAAGTCTGTGGCATTTACCAGTGGGTATAAAGTTTGTTATAGCTTGGCTCTTGCTCCATTCCTTCCATAATGGCTGCTTGATTTTTCTAGTCAGACTTAAATAATTTAAGTGACATTAGATAACATCAAACAACTCTCTTAAAGACAATATGGAACTATCTCTATCTGTTTTTTTATTCCTTCACATATGTTCATTTAACAAATATTTATTTAGCAACTTCTGTGTGTCAAGCCCCAAGTTAGACGTTGGTGACAAAGTAGTAAAGAAATACATCCTTTGCCCTCAATACCCATAATAAATCATGCATTTGTGTGTATGGGTATGTAGGGTGTGTGTGTGTGTGTGTGTCTGTGTGTGTGTGAGAGAGAGAGAGAGCGAGAGCGAGAGAGAGAGAAACTTCGGAGTGGCAAGAGTTAAATTATCACATTTACAATATATCATTATAAGCCTTGGCAAGCACTGTGGAAGAAAAGTAAAATGTACAATGAAAGATTATAAGATCTCATTTAAACCTGTGTACATCCGAAGTTACATCACCACATACCTCCTATTGATGTTGTTACGAATTGACTCAGTGCAATTTTATCTTAGGCAACTTTTTTTCTTTTGCATTCCTCTATTCCCCTTTTCGGTGGTTTCCTGCGCTTTCTTCTAGAAACCAATGTGTCTGCTACTCATAGCTTCCCATCCTGGTGCTACAAGGGACCTGAATATGAGTTCGTACTTCTGACTTCATCAACAAACTGTAGTCTTATTCCCTCCTTTGCTCCTGGTGGTGGTGATAAGAATTTTAGTCAATGATGTGATTTGCTAACTCCTTGTTAGCAATGGCTTAATTCTTTAAAAGTGATGACAAAAATTAGCTTCAGGAAATACAAAGGCTTATGGGGAATATTTCAGGCAAAATAGAATCTTGATGTTCCCCTCAAAATAATAGGGCAGAGGAAATTGCCAATTCTGGTCCCAATTTGGCTAAATTTAAGCTAATGAATTGCTCTTTTCTATTTAATCCTAGAATTACACCACTGGAAAACTCAATTTTCTTTGGTCTATTATCACTTTTGTCAGGCATGTTTTCCATTTAAACCAAAGAAGTTCCCATTTCACAAGAACATTTATGTGTAGTTCTTTCTTCTTGGAGAAAAATATTTTTGTCTGTCTTCATCGTAATTTGCAAATTTAGCATTTAAAAATGAGTACTAGAACTTGATAGATTAGTTGACTGAAAGAACATTTATTGAGCACTGGTTATCTATTCTAATTTTCACGCAAAACAGTGATGTTTGTAATCCAGTCTCAGTTTGTTATTAATGAGTGTGACACCTTATAAAGATATACTATGATGGATTTTCATTTTCCTATTTGAAACATGAGATATTTCACTAATGATCCCTATGATCACTTTCAAATCTAATACTCTACATTCTATAACATTACAAGTTTTGTGTTTTTTTAAAAAATCTGAGCTCCTATTACCAGGCTTAATGTATAAACTCCTATACACATAAGCTTAAAAATTGAATGTAGTTTTTGTGGCAATTATAACTAAGATTATTACATTATTTAAGAAATCTAGAACATTTATACATGTAAACAAAGTTTAGTTCCTTAGAAGGAAAAACAACTCTCTCCTTTATATATGCTTCTGATGTTAGATGGACTCTCTTCAGTCAATGTTTCTTATGATTAAAACTTGAGAATATGTGACTATAGAATTATTTTTCTAACATCAGTTATTTATAAGCATAAATAGACATCTGTATAATTATACAAACATGAACATTGTGTTTTCTTGCTTGGGAGGACAGAATGGGGAGGTGGGGTGGTGAGAAAGGTTTTAACATTAGCTACCAAATAATATGTTAAAGCTAGAGCCCCAAATCCAATTAATGTTCAAAGTAGAGTTAGTATATTTTACCTTTCAATCCTCTTACATTCTCAAAGCCAAGTAATTTATTAAGGCATTCTACCATAATTATAGGACTTATATAAAATAATTTAATAATTCCAATTTGAGGTTCTGAATGTAAAACTCTTTTGTAGACTAATGGCTTTTAATAAGAAGTAAATTTCTCATAGAAATGTAACACCTTTAATTTGAGAGTAGAGTAATAGAAGGAGCACAAATTAAATTTCTTGTTTCCTCGTGTAGTTATGATTAGTATCAGAAAAAAATATGGAATTCAATAGTTATTCCTTAAAGAACTGCAGTTTTATTGAGAATACCAAGAAGCCCAGGGATCTGGACAATGTATACATCTTAGAAAAGACAGATCCCAATTTTGCTCAAAAGTAAAGACGGAGCAAGAACTGTGAAGATGAAGTCTTTATTATTTTGCTTAAAATGGAATCTGTAAGGATCTAAAAAAATATTCATCACTGACAATTGTTTAGAGAGGAGTAATTTATTAGTATAAAACAACTAGAATACTTGTAATTTCTTTTATATTTTTGGTTTATAACTTGTTCGACCAAAAATTTGGAAGGATATCTAATGATTATTTTCTTAATTTTATGTAATTAAGAATACTTTTGAAAATATTTAAATTAGAAAGCCCAAGACTGAAAGTATTATTCAACTGCAAGAGAAAAAAATAATCTCTATTGTGAACTAAGTACTTGGACTAGAAGATTAAATAGCACTTGGTGGGTTCCTTTGAGAAACTGATAACCTTGAGAGTAGAACTGACACAAACAGATATTTTAATAAGATATTTTGAGTCCTAAATTGTACTGTAAAGTATAGGAAAGATGACCTTTCATAGCTATGTATTTTTACACAAATTGCTTAAATATTGGTGCCTTCATTCCCTTGTCTCTAAAATTGGGATGGTAATAGTAACACCTACTTCATGGGTTTGTTGTTAGGTTTAAATTAGTTAATACACATAAAGTACTAAGAAGAGTGCTTGGTATACAAAATCACTCTATAAATGTTATTTATTGATTCTCCTCAAATCATAATTTATATAAACAGTTAGCAAGGTGTCAGGCACTTAAGAAAATCTCAGTAAACATTAGCTAGTGTTATAGTCCATTATGGAAACACAGAATTGGGCCTCTGTGTTAATAACCAAACTCAAGATCACGTGCTTTATTTGAATGCACTAGACACATTTTTAGTAAACGATTATTTGGTTTGTTATGCAGCCATTATATTTTAATATGCTTTTACTATGAGAATACAAGACAAAGAAGAAATAGAGCATTTTTTATGTGTGTGTAACAGGTTATTAATATAAAAGTTGTGAAAAATGTGATTGTACAAATACTAGTTACAATACTCAAAACATCTCACATTGAGAGCTTTAAAAAGTGAGCAAGAAAATATAGGAAATCGTGGGTGCCTTTGCAGATGGCTTTGCTATGAATCTCAAACTTAAACTTACCCAAAGCTTCTCTGTACCTCAAGTCTAGTGAAAGAGGCTGATATCAGACTCTCCCTCGATTAATATAAAAAGCAAGGGATGGACTGGTTAGCTGCTGATGAACGAAGAAAGGAGTGGTTGCCTCCTTAGGACTGTCCTTAGTCCGGTGAAATGATGCCTGAAAGTTATCCACAAACCAGATGCAAGTTAGGTGCGAGAGAGAGCCAGTGGAGCTGTCTTAGACTGAAGAGTGAGCAGGACTCAGCAAAGGGCACTGAAGGTTACTTGGAACTTTGAAAGGAATCAGTAAAAAGCTAGGGGAGAGTGTATCACTTCCATCAGGGTAACTACAGGAGAGTGGCCCAGCTGTGAGTAATGGTAGAAGGGCTTTCTCCAAAGAGCCCATGAACATGCCCCATTAGAGTCAATGTGCAGTCAATATATGACAGTATAAGTCAGGTGAGATCTTTCCTACTCTCCACCGCTTTCCTCTCCAAACTGTCCTCAAACTCTGAGGAGGTTAAAACCCATAGGAGATGGGGAACAAGATAATTGAGAAAGAAGCAGACCTTGTTCCCTTCTCTGCAACAGGTATCTAGACAGAAATAGACTCTAAACAAGAGAAAGTAATTGTAACTTAAAATAGTTGGATAGTTTGAGATCACATGCAAGTGAACATTCTAATCCTGAAATGAAACCATATCTTGGAACTGAAATTGATTAAAATACTTTTTTAAACTTAATAGTGATTAGAGAAATCATGAGCTATTTTAGTTTTGTTTCTGTCTTCATTTAGGTGCAAGGGATAAATAGCCACTGAGCAATGTTCAAATACTTATAAAAAATACACTGCTTTATAATAACATATGCAAGATTACGCTTGTTCAATTTATTAGTTATATTAACTGCAGATAAATGTGCATCGGAAAAAAAAAACATAGCTCTGTTTCTGTGGAATGCTTTCATAAACCCTTGTCTTCTTGGTAAAACCAGGGAATCACCTTGTAAAATAAGAATCTTTTCTGTTCATTCTTTGCAAAAATAATTTCACATTATAAAAAGTAAATTTTAACAGTTATCTATAGTGAGCTGCAATTGATCAGATCTTGCTTTGTCCTCTTAGTCACTGGCTTTCTTTTTTTTAATTCATTTTTCTTTTTGTTTTGTTTTTGTTGTTTTTAAGACAGAGTCTCACTCTGTGTAGAGCACTCCAACTCTGTGCTGGAGTGCAATGGAGCAATCATGGCTCACTGCAACCTCTGCTTCTGGGGCTCAAGTGATCCTCCCTCCTCAGCCTCCCAAGTAGTTGGGACTACAGGCATGCGACACCATGCTTGCTAACTTTTGTATTTTTTGTAGAGACAGGGTTTCAGTATGTTGCCCAGGCTGGTCTCAAACTCCTGAGCTCAAGAGATCTGCCACCTCAGCCTAGGAAGTCAGTATTTTAATGCTCAAATACAAAGGGTAATATTTTCTAAGAAGAAGATTTTTAATATTAAAATTAAATATATTAATATTAATATTTAAATGTTAAAATTAAAATTTTATTTAATTTTTCCCAAGCAAGAGGCATTTTTGTTCAAATAATATTCAAGTATTTACTTTGAGGCAGAACATGTGCCAAGACCTCAGGATATAATCGAAAACAATAAACAAAACATCTCATCTCATTCCTGCTCTCTTGGAACTTAGATTCACATACAGGAGGAAAGAAAAAATAAATAAATTGGTGAATAAACAATTTAATGTCAACTAATGATAAGTACAATGATCAACATGAATCCTGAGGGATATGATTAGAGAGCAAGCTGGATACTGGAATAAACAAATTAGAGACAGAAACAAACAAACAAAAAACCCTTCAAATTAACACAAAGGATAAATGCCTGAGAGGATGGAGACCCCCTTTCCCAAGATGTGTTTTTTATGCATTGCATGCATGTATCAAAACATCTCATGCACCATATATATATAGAGAGAGAGAGAGAGAGTGTACACAAAAATTAAACATGAAAAATTGAAAAGTTGGCTGGGCACGGTGGCTCATGCCTGTAATCCCAGCACTTTGAGAGGCTTAGGTCAAAAGTTCAAGACCAGCCTGGCCAACATGGCAAAACCCTGTCTCAACTAAAAATACAAAAAATTAGCCAGCGTGGTGGCGAGTGCCTGTAGTCTCAGCTACTCGGGAGGCTGAGGCAGGAGAATGGCGTGAACCCGGGAGGTGGAGCTTGCAGTGAGCTGAGATTGCACCACTGCACTCCAGCCTGGGCGACAGAGGGGGACTCCATCTCAATAAATAAATAAATAAATAAATAAATAAATAAATAAATAAATAAGCCAGTTGTGGTGGCAGGTGCCTGTAATCCCAGCTACTTGGGAGGCTGAGGCAGGAGAATCACGTGAACCCAGGGGGCCGAGGTTGCAGTGAGCCAAGATCGCAGCACTGCACTCCAGCCTGTGCAACAGAGCAAGACTCCACTCATAAAATAAAAAATAAAAATAAATAAATAAATAAAAAATTAAAAAATTAAAATCATGAGTACAGCCTGATTTTGGATGTTGGTGATGTTTTGAGAGAGGGATCACATGATTCAATTGGATGTTCAGTAGAGGAAGCAGCAGGCCAAGGTAACCCACTTCGTGGAGTATAAAGAATATAAAAAAGCCCAAAGAGCAGGTGAGATAAATTGAGGGAGCACACACACACACACACACACACACACACACACACACACACACACACAGGTAGAAGACTAAAACTTTGAAAAGAAGCAGCAAAACCAAAGCATCATGTCTAGGAATAATCATGATTGTGAAGTTGATATTGCGTTACGTGAGGGGAGAGTCAAAAGGTGTCTTCTGTTAGTGCAGACAGAAAGAGGGAACTGCAGCCATTGCAAACAGAGGGCCATGGAGCAAAAATGGAGACAAAACAATGACTGGCATAAACCTAATCCCTTTAGACCCACAATGTGCTTTTGAATGAGTGAGATATTTTGCTTAAAATACAATTCACAATTTGTATATTTTACCCTTAGTAATTGTTTATTACAAGTGAGTATAGTTTTAGCATGCTAATCAGAAAAATTCTGCTTTGTTTAAAGTCTAAATTTAAAATCCCCAAACTGATATTATCTGTAACCAAACTGCTTTAATTCAAGTGGAACATAAAGTCCACATGGAATGTACATTTGTCCCAAGCTGAGACCAACACCACTGATTTGGCCTCTCTGCTTTTGTGCATGTGGAATAGAGGAAGAAGCTATTACACAGCTGCAGTAACAGAGAGCCGATCTCCACCACCCCCACCCATACTAGGAAGGCCCAGAAAATAAACTGGAAAATTGCCACAGAAAGTAAGATGCATGTAGAGACAAAAAACACAGGTTAAACTTGATAGTTGATTCCCCATTAATGAGTAAGGATAAATAATCTCTTAACCTTACCTCGTCTCTCCTCATTTGTAGGGGAGGTTGTATTCTAAACTAGAGGTAAGCATTTAAATGAAAGCTAATTTCAGAGATAATCCCAGGAAGCACTGGTTTGGAATAGGAGGTGAGAAAGGAAAGGGAATGAGTCAATAAAGGCTGTATTATGGAGCAGATGACTGCTGTGGGCAGTTGAGGAACTCTAGGAAACCCTGTAGAACATGTGCAGAGCTGCTGTATTGCTCACAGATAGGAAACTGGACTAGTTATCTACTAATTCCTATTAGTTACTGCTTGAGAGCTATTTCCAGGGACATTACCATCCTGCCTCTTCTGCCCTGTCCTATATATACCGATTACGTGGTTCTGGTAGCCAAAGAAAACCCTCAGGGATAGAGCTACAGATCCTACAGTGAAACTTTCAAGAACTGTGATGTCCAAGTAGTTTTAGGTGGGACATCAACAGTGTCTGCCACAACTAATCATTAAGACCAAATAAACTACTCTATAGCAAAATACTGTGTAAACTACCAATTTCAGTATAAATTAATATTAAGTGGAGAACAAATTGAAATAAATTTTTAACATTCAGTGCAAATATAACTCTAATGCCAGCATAGTTTGAATTATAGTAAAAAGAAATATACATTTAGAATTAGAAAACCTAGAATGTTTAAATCCTGGCATTTCTTTGAGCACATCACTTCTCTAAGTTTAGAGAAGTGTAATGAGGTTTTATTAACTCTTTTATGGTAAAAAATGAGCATATTAAGTTTAGAGAAGTGTAATGAGGTTATATTAACTCTTTTATGGTAAAAAAAAATGAGCATACTAAGTAAGGGGAGGATATTTCTAAGATGATATTTAACACAAAGTAAATTTTTAGTAATTGTTAATTATCTTCCCCACTTCCAACTTTATTTTAAGATTATTCTTATCTGAAGCTGCTCAAGATTTTTCATTTATTATTCTAGCTTATTAAAAACAAGTTGAATAGTTTATTAAGCTGGGTTGTATCTTGAAGCCACTGAAAATACAAATAACATATTTAGGAACGCTTACTGTGAGCCAGGCACTGTCAAAGGCACTGTGCTTAAGATGGTAAACAAGGCCGAGCGCGGTGGCTCACGCCTGTAATCCCAGCACTTTGGGAGGCCGAGGCCAGTGGATCACGAGGTCAGGAGATCTAGACCATCCTGGCTAATACAGTGAAACCCCGTCTCTACTAAAAATACAAAAAAATTAGCCTGGCGTGGTGGCAGGCGCCTGTAGTCCCAGCTACTCGGGAGGCTGAGGCAGGAGAATGGCGTGAACCCGGGAGGCGGAGCTTGCAGGGAGCCGAGATCGTGCCACTACACTCCAGCCTGGGCGACAGAGCGAGACTCTATCTCAAAAAAAAAAAAAAAAAACAAAAACACAACATGGTAAACAAAAGAAACCCCAAATCCCTGTTCTCAAAATATTGTGAAGAAAATGAATGATTAAAAATTATATACAAAAGAGGGCTTCTGATATATAACTTTCTACTTAATGATTATATTTTGATAACATTATTATTTGAGTATCATTATTTAGATATCTTTAATATGAATTTCAAAATTGCTGTGGTGTTTGTCCATTACAGTGGTCTGATGTATTTCAATAATGTAGAACATAGTCTAGATTTAAAAAGAAAAGAAAAAAATTATGAACACAAAGTCAATTTAATTATCCAGGGCAAATTATCGCATTTGCAATGGACTATACCCATATAGTTTTAGATGATTGAGATTCTGAGCAATCATATATTATGGTTTTTATTAATAAGAATTAAAAATTATAAGGAGATGAGTATATGCATTTTGGAGGTCCTTCCCAATTCTAAAATTCTATGAAGTATGACTTGTAATTTAAATGGTAAGTTTAATAATAATACAAATATAAATGTAAACAATTAAGTTGCCTGGAATATGCTTAAAATAAGAGAATTCATAACACTTAACAAAGTGCTGCCTGAATCAGGCTGGTCCAAGTTGTTACTTTAGGATGGCTGCCTGGTCGGCAGGAAACAATTTGATCTTTTCTGCAACACTACCAAAGCCAACACCCCATAGCTAATTTGTTGAAAGATAAATATTCTTAATGGGAAAAAAGTTACTAAACTTGGAAAATAATCCTTTGCTAAGTAGCAGATTGCATTAAAAAAGTAATTGTAAGTCCCTTGGGAGGCTGATTCTACCGTATATAAATATTGTAATGAACACCAACTCCTAAAAACACTTTGAATAAAGAACTATGCATAACCTAAGTGGGGCATGGCACAGGCTGATATCTGAGTACGGAGCAGGGAACTGACCCATCACAAGGGTTACTCAAATGTTTGGAATAAAATTGTAATGGTTTTGCTTATTTAATATTTGAATAGTGCCTTAGTAATTTTGTGCCTTTATTTCAACAAAGGAAACACTATACAAATGAATTAAGGAAATGACTCCCTTTAAGTTCATTCTGTGATTTTTTTTAAGTCAATGCTTCATTAAGTACAGTTCATGTGCCAGCTGTTTAAGTTTTACCTAATTAATTCTCTCATTTACATTATCCTACATAACTCTAAGTTTGAAGTTTTAGTAAAAATAAATTTGTATATTACTTAAAGTATGATTTACTTAATACTAGTATTTAATGACAGCCACATATTTCTAAAACGTTAAGAGCTTGTCACTTACATATTTCAAAGTCCACTATCTCTATTCCCTAAAGAGAAAACTATATATATTTCCAGTGTTGACCATACACTTTTAAAATCCCTCATCAAATCTCAAAGGAATATTCGGGTACACTAACATAAGTGTCAAGAAGAAGGTAATGATGGATGGTGGATTAAGAAAACACTACTTTAGGTCAATAATAACCACCATGTCCAAAAAGAAACTGCACATTCCAAAGAATGCTTTGAAGGTTGGTAGTAACTTGTTAAAAGCTTGGTTTCAGATTTAATAAGCTCCATCATTTTCAACTCTTTTATTTTTTTTTATTTTTATTTATTTATTTTTTTTAAGGAAAATCAAGGGAACAAGTGTTTCCTTCTTGGTAAGTTTCTTAGAAGCTCAAATTTGAACTGTAGTTTCAAAGAACCCACATTTTAAAAGGTAATTCAGGATAAATATGACACCTAATTTAAAGACATACAGTTGGCTTCATATCAGGTTGCGTGCTGATTTTAGAGCTGTTTATTGAAGATTAAAGCTTGGGATGGATTTTTTCCACCAAACTGATACTATAAATAGGTCTTTAAGTCCTGGCTACTTAATATGATGTGCTTTTAATTCTGTTAATAGTTACTTTTGGGTGACAAAGTTTTGCAAACTTTGGACAGTTTATACCTGTCCTTAATCTTTCTATGAATTTCAAAACTTTTCAGACCTATTTGGAAGAAGGAACAGGGCTGGGGGCATTTGCACCACGCTTCTTCTGAATATTCTTTACTAGCTCAGTTGTATGTTTTCCACTACTTCCCAGGGCCTAGGTTAATGATAATATGTCCAAGGAAAGTCAATCTAGTGTAGTAATTGTCAAACTGTAGTAGTTGTTGCCTATAATCCACATTAAAAATAAGGCAAAAAGCCCAATATTTTTCTTAATCTTCCAGCAAGAAATAGTACTTGTCAATAATGGTAGACAAGATGCAGAAGAAGGAGGTCGTGGAATCTCCTGACAGCTGAGTAGGAAAGGACAAACACACTAGTGATGTCCTCATTTACTTACTTATTTAACACATTTTATTGATCTCCTTCCATCTTCTAAGAAACAGGCTGAATGACAGGCTGTTAAGAAAGGTGAATAAGATAGGGCTCTCCCCTGTTGGAAACTTCTGATAGAGTAGAGGAGATGGAAAATGAGCCCTTGACATCCTGAGTACTTTAATGGAGAAGTGCCTTTAAGTTATAAGCAAGAGGTTGACAATACAGCAAATAGATATAAACAATTACAACTGTTAAGCTCACCAAGCACCTGAAACACAGGTGTAGTTTTCAAAAAATTTAACAACCTCTGCAGCATGTCATAAAGGAATTACAACCTACATGGCCCATACCATTAAAACGAGGTCATGAAAACTGCCTACTATTCCAGGCCTTTTTCCTTCAGTTGCCTGGGTCATGAGGTTGTCCAGGTAACTATGTAAGCCTTTGCTGTCTCTTCAGGATATGTATCAGCCTGATAACATCTGTGATTTTGGATTAGAACCTCTGTATCATTTGACATACAATCAAGGGAGAAAAAAAAAAGAAAAGTTATGTTTAAGCCAGTAAGTACTATAGCTAAATAATGGAGAAATTTGTTCATCACTATTTATTTCTTAGTAAAATATTAATGATTAGCACTTACTACATTTTCATACCGTATGTAATTATTTCATTAACTCAGTTATTCAGCAAAACTTTCATTTTGATTCAATCCACATTTGAGAGTCAAATACATTCCAGGCTATATATATATATATATATATATATATATATATATATATATATATTCAAAGTTTTCTAAATGATAATGTCACCTCATTTGAATTCAGATATGCTTTTTTGATTGTGATGTAGCAGTTTGGAGTAAGGGGTATTAGCAAGAGTCATTGCAATGCATGATAGAAGTATAAACCAGAGAATATAAAGGAATATGAGTTCAAAAAGCAATTACTCTTCCAATTGGTATGGTTATGAGACGAAGAGGTAAGAATGGACTGTACCTTGAAAGGCTGACGGCTGGTAAAACTGGAAAAAATGGACCAGAGAAGAATGAAAGTTGATGAACCACATTAGGCATTATATTGATCCTTAACCACAGTAAGGTAACTCAAATGTATTAAACTGCCCATTCTAAAACAATTGAGCTTCTCTCTCTCTCTTTCTCTCTCTCTCTGACTAATCTTTGTAAGGAGATTTAAAAAATATGTGCAGGCATTGTGCTATAAGTTGTAAGCGCTCTTTATACATTATCTCATTTAATCCTCTTAACGAACATGTAAAGTTGGTACCAAAATTGCTACTTCCCCCACCTCCTGCTACTACACACACCCACACACACCACCACACATTTCACAGAAAGGAACTTTAAGCTTAGATAAGTAATCAGTTCTATAGCTAACATTTTATTTCACAAATAGCAGACATGAGAAGATACTTCATACTGTTTCATAGCTAAGATAATACGATGTGGGCAACAAATTAGTTTCATCACATAAAGGAACAGAATTAATATGTACTCTGGGGACACTTCTGAAAGATACGCAATTTTTCATTCCATTTATTGTTTCGACAGCATAAGTTAGTGAATACTGACTATGTCCAAAGTGGTATTGAGAAGAACTGTAAGAAATATAGTTAATAATTGAATTAGGATTTTTAAAATCAATTTCAACATTTGTGAAGTATTTTCTTTTTCAAATAAAGAAAAATAGAATAATAGATTTTTTAATGTATGCCACATAATTGACAGTAAATAAAATGTGTTCTTTAAAAAGTTTGTGCATTACAATTGATGGTTAATTTTCAGAAAAGAGGGAAGTGTATGAATATTCAAGGATCATATGTGGTTTCAGGTTCTCCATTTGTCCCAGGGTAAGCCCCATGAAATTAAGTAAAACTTGACGTTGGATCAACTATTTCATAAAGAAGACAATAAATATTTTAATGTTATTTGATCCAACACTTGCTGTTTAGTAAATTTATTTTATTTATATTTCACAAAAAAGTCTTAGTAGAAAATCTTATAGTGAACAAGCATTTACCCCAGTTTTTATTTTGCCTTTTATAATTTTCTAAAGAATACATATTTTTGGTTGCCAAATAAAAAGCAAGTGTAGTCAACAGTAAAGGATATATCAGTATTGGTTTATAGAGAGATATAAAACCTTACCCTTGCCAAATATCTTAACATTTAAAAATGTTGGTTTTAGTACTAAACTGAAATCAAATGGAACACATCTCACATAACGGGGTTTTCAATGCTGCCAATGTAATTCTTATGTCAGAAACCTCTTTTAGTAGATGTGATTCTTTAACATATTTGTTTCTGCCCTTCTCTTCAATTGTTTCAATTTTATTTATATAGTAGAGTCAAAAACTAGTAAAATATGCTGATAAAAAATGTTTTGAAAGCACATTTGAAAAACACAAACCAAAGTTGGATTCAAGCAAATGTCAATATGTGAAAGCTTTTTAACAGAACCTGCCCATTCACCAGGGACATTCTTATCAAAAATATATGAGCCCAAAGCTAATCCAATTAGTTGATGGAGAAAGCATAAGAATTACTGCAGGAAAACATTCCTTTACAATCACAAATAGCTCCTCAGAGACATGACACAAGAAATCAGACTTTTGTTAAATTCTGTTTATGGACTCTCAGCAGAAGAAAAGAAAGGCATAATACAAAAATGAATCAAAACAGAATGTGGCTATGTAGAATACAGGAGTACTAAGTGAATAAAATGTGTGGATAAAATTAATATTATGGGGACTTATATAACATAAACTAAATAAAGAAGTAACATTGACTTGTTCCAGATACACATGGATGTGCTGAAGAACCCTAGACAGAAAGAGGTACACAAACCATACACATTCCTCAATCCCCAGAGACAGCTGGGGATTGCCCATGGCTACTACCCTGTGCTTCTGCTTTAAATTTTGATTAAAGCGATATGAATTCCTTTCATCTTGTCAATGTCTCCACAATTCTTTACCTTCAATTTGCTTTGTATCTGTCTTGGAGAGATGAAAAAAATATTACTTTTATTGTGGTTAGAGCAGACACTGACATATTCTTCCTCCATTCTGGATTTAAAAGAGAAAACAAAATAAAGCTAGCCTTTGTGGCATGGAGTATTTAGTATACAACGCAATAAAATTTCATAGAAAAGGTATTTCTTGTTCACAGATTTTACAATCTCTTCACATCTGTTGTGGATTGTATCAGCAATTTCTGTTTGGAAATTCCTAAATGTCTGAAGCCAAGAGATTCAAAGGAAAAGTGTCATGAGACTAAATAAAAGAATTATCTTATTTTTTTAAAAAAAATGATGTATTGGGAACACTTAAAGGAGAGGTGGAAATGAGATGCCTTGAATTGAGATAGCATCTGATAAATTAGGACTTTCCTACAAAGAGAAGAGCATCTTAAGGGAAATTTTCCATCTCCATGCAAATAATGTTTATAAGCTTGTTCCCAATTCCTGCCCATTTTCTCCAACAGGTGTTGCTATTTGATGCACATATTTTCTTTTCTGATTTCCATAGTTCCTTTATCTCACCTGTATTTATCTTCTGCTTGGCTGAATACAGATTAGAATGTTTTTTTTTCTTTTATCCCAATTTCTTGCTTAAGCTGCCATCTCTGTAAAAAGCACACAAACACATTTTAATTTTATTTCTTCTGTTCTAAAGTCCCCCTTCTTCCTGTCTAGTAACTATGGAGAAACAGACTAGAAAACAAGCTTTGAGAACAGTGCAAATGTGTGTGTTACTGAATGAGGAGGGGACTAAAGGGGCAGAAAGAGAGGAAGGTTCTCAAATGAACTTCTGTTGATTTTTGATGAATGTCTTATGTGATCTAGCTAAATTTCTGATTCATTCCCTTAATTCTGGTCTTAGCATGACCTTTCATGAATCAACTGCTAGACCACATTACTAGGACCACAATTTAAGAAATATTTTTTTGTTCCTCAGACAGCCACATTTCTCAATACCTTCTTGAATTTATAATATTCTTATAAGTTAAGAAAACCTCAGGGTGAGTTTAAAAGCTTCTCTTAGCTAAGACTACAGTGTTCTGCACTTTGTCTGCCCTAATGCTCTCATATCCCATAACTTGACTCATTATTCCAAACCTGATCTTTCTCTTGTTTTTCATATTCATGTATTTCCATTTCTCCAAGGTGTGTTTCATAGAGTACTAATGTAACTTGAGATCTTAATAGGTTATTTGTGGAGAAGAGAGAGTGGAAAGAAAGTTCTGATAATATTAGCTTCTAAAATAATTTCAATAAATATAAACTAAACAAAAAATTAATGTTTTATAATACTCTCCCCTTATAAATGCTGTACCCTATCTGTAAAGGACCAGAAGCCATATAAATTACCACATCAAAATATATGAACTGTTAACTTTGGATCTGTACATTGACCCAAAGGCAATGTATTTCCGTTAAATTTACATTGATGTGTGTTGTCTGTTAGATGTTGTTCTACTTCATGAGATGTCAAAGTTACTTTTTGATGTTTTATTACAGCTTAATGAAATTTACATATTACATTAACACATGTACATTTGGAAATAAAGAAAGAAAAAAGCAAAGACTTATAATCAGAAGGGCTTCTGTTAAGTTTTGGACTCAGCTACTTACTTGCTTTGTGGTCTTTTCCTCTTTTTAATTTTTGTGGCTAGATAGTAGTGCATATTTTTATGTGGTACATGAGATGTTTTGATACAGGCATGCAATGCGAAATAAGCACATCATGGAGAATTAGATATCCATCCACTCAAGCATTTATCCATTGAGTTACAAACAATCCAATTATACTCTTTAAGTTATTTAAAAATGTATAATTAAGTTATTATTTATTATAGTCACTCTGTTGTGCTATCAAATAGTAGGTCTTATTCATTCTTTCTTTTTTACCCAATCCCCAACTACCCTTCCTAACCTTTAGTGAGTATCTTTCTACTCTCTATTTCCATAAGTACAATTGCTTTGATTTTTATATCCCACAAATAAGTGAGAATATGCAATGTTTGTCTTTCTGTGCCTGGCTTATTTCACTTAACATAATCTCTGGTTCTTTCCATGTTGTTGCAAATTACTGGATCTCATTCATTTTTATGGCTGAATAGTACTTAGTGGTCTTAACCAAGCTATCTAACCATTTCTTAGACCTGTGAGCATAAGCAACTTGTTGCCACAATATCTCATCTATTAAATGAAGACAAAAATATTAATAGCTATAGGTTTATTAAGATCTAATGCAAGTGAAGTAGTCAGCATTTTTCTTGATACATAATAAGCTTTCAATAAAGAAAGAGCTATTATTTTTAACATAGTACAAAATAGTATTGTATGGACTAATAAAAGAAGAGTTAAAAGTGATCATTGTATTTTCATAAAGAAGAAAAATGGGAAATCTATCAGAAATTTGGAAAATTACTAGAATTCAACCTTGCATTCTGATTTCTTTGTACTGGGCACAGTTCATGGCATATAGTAGGAATTTCAGCTTTGGCTAAGGGAGGAGATTGGCAATTTTCCTCCCCATAAATCAATTGCAAAGCTGAACATAAGAGACAAAACCAACTATGTCCATGTTCTGGAAATGAAAACAGGCATACAGTTATCAGAGACACCTTTATAACTGCTAAACTGCTAAAACTGAGATAAGAACAGTAGGAGTCCATAGCTTTCTGGCCTGGGTTTGCTCCCATTCTCAGTCCTGGCTGAGTAGCCATGGAGGTTCTGATATCATGAGATAGTCCATGAGAACTGGCTGTTTTGCTTCTGCGGTCAAAGGAAGCCACTCAAATTGGAATGGTGAGCAATGACCAAATTCAATGATATTATCAGCAGAAATGACATTTTGGTTATGATCAAAGCAAGTATATTCTTGCTTGAGTCTGTGTACATGCAAAGCAGAGACCTAAGAGGACTCAAACCAGCCACACACTCTCAGCCAACCTTGAGGCTGCACACATATGTAGAGGAGGCATAAAAGATTACAGTGGCGCAGAAGCTAGGGCAGACAAACATAGTCTGAACTTGAATACACCCTCCTACCCACATATAGACCATTCAACAGAATGAAAAAGTCTTATTGGCTCCAGATGTTTGGTACAAAATTTTTCTAATTATTGACTGACAATTTTGCTATATAGAGACAGGGGGCAAATCCTGGAAAGCTAGATTTAAAAACAAAACGTTAAATGAAAACATCAGTGGCCACACACCAAGGAGGAGATAGATTTATCCAAAACAAGTTACTGAACAATGAAACAGACAAACTAAGAAACAAACCAGCAATAACAACCTTGCTGGGGAAGGGTGGCTGGCAGAATCTGAATTAGAGTGGCTACATTATATTATCTATATTATTTTTAAAATTATGAGATATGCACAAAAATAGAAAAGTGTCACCCATACTCTGGGAAAAAAAGAAATAATAGAAATTGAGCATTGTCAAATGTTGGATTTAGCAGAAAAAATATTTAAAACAGGTATTACAAATACATTAAATAAAGAAAAGGCAACCACATTTAAAGAATTAATGGAAGGTATAATAAAAAATAAACCAACAGATAAAATTTCTCAATAAGAACATAGAAATTATTTTTAAAAATAAAAATTCTAGAGATGAAATATTTTTCCACTTAAATGAAAAAGTCCTCAAAAGCAGTTTCAAGGTGCAGAAGAGAGAACCACTGAAACTGATCAATTACAACGATCTCATCTGAAGACCAAAGAAAAGGGATGAAAAATAAACAGACTCCAGAACCTGATGGAAATGCGAAGGACCTAAAATAGCTACACAGTTTTGAGAAAGAACAAAGATAGAAGAGTTATACTACCTGATTCAAACTATCCTATAGAGCCATAGTAATGAAGACAGTGAACTATTGGTGGAGCAATAAGACTATTGATTAATGTAAGAGAATTGAAACTCCAGAAGTAAATCCTTGTATTTATGGTTAATTGATTTTGACAGTTTCCCAAACAATTTAATGAGGAAATGATAATTTCAACAAATGGTCGAATGGCTGAAGAGAACATTGATATTAAAGAGAAAATTTTGATACATCAAAAATTAACTCAAAATGGGTCATAGACCGAAACATAAGAGCTAAAAATTATAAAACATCTAGAAGAAAAAAATAAGAGAAAATATTTACTACTTTGGAGTAGGCAAAGTTCTTTAATGACACCAAAGACATGATGCACAGAAAGGTATAATTGATAAAATGGATTTTATCAAAACTAAAAACCATGTTTTAATAGATACCATTAATAAAATGTAAAGATAAACCACAGACTGGGAAGAAATATCTTACTAAAAACTGAAATAATACTTTTATACTGGATATATAAAGAACACTTTCATCTCAATAAGGCAAAAAAAATCAATTACAGATTTGTAAAATATTTAAATAGGCATTTCACTAAAGCAGATACTCAGATGGGTAATAATCAAATTAAGGAATGTTCGACACCATTAATAATCAAGAAAATGCTAATTAAAACTATAATGAGATACCATCACAAACAGTCTGGGATCACTGTACCAGTAGCAAATGTGGCGAGGACGTGAAGACACGGGAAACTTCATTCATTGTTTGTGGAAATATAAAATTTCACAGCCACTTTTGAAAACAGTTTGATAGTGTCTTAAACTTTTAAACATTAAGTGACTACATGACCCAACAATTTCACTCCTAGGACTTCACCAAAGTAAATTTTTAAAGGGCTATGTAGGCCAAGTGTGGTGGCTCGTGCCTGTAATCCCAGCAATTTTGGAGGCTGAGGCAAGAGAATTTCTTGAGGCCAAGAGTTTGAGACAAGCCTGGAAGCAAAGTGAGATGCCCCAAAACTCTGTCAAAAAATGAAAAAATTAGCTGGGCATAATGGCGAACATTTGTACTCCCAGCTACTCAGCAGACTGAGGCAGGAGGATCACTTAAGCCTAGAAGTTCAAGGTTGCCGTGAGCTATGATCACACCACTGCACTCCAGCCTAGGTTACAGAGTGAGATCCTGGCTCTAAAAATATAATAATAAAAATAAATGCAAATTATTTGTTAAATGTCTACACAGACATGTACATGAGATGTTCATAGCAGCATTATTTATAATAGCCAAGACATGGAAATAATCCAAGTTTCTATCAGCAGATCTATGAATAAGACTAATATGACATGTCCATAAAATGAATCACTATGTGTTAATAAAAGGATGAACTACCGATACGTGCTGCAACAGCATTGAATCTCAAAAACATGCTAATTGAAAGAAGCCAAATGCAAAAGACTACATACTACATTATTCTATTTATATAAAATATCCAGGAAAGGTAGACTCTTAGAGGTAGAAACATTACTGTGATTCTAACGACACTATTAGAAGCAGGGGTTAGCTATGTGGAGGTGTCAGCACAACATGGAAGAACTTTTGAGAGGTGATAGGAAGGTTCTAAACTGGATTGTGGTGGTGCTTGTGCAGCTCTACCCATTTACTAAAAGTCATTTTACGTTTGCAATAGGTGAATTTTATGGTAGGTATATTATATAATACTTCAGTAAAACTATTAAAGATAATTGCTTGATATACGTCTTGCTTGTCTTGTTGATGCCATAGTGTTTTCCCTCTATGCCTCTTTATAGTTTGCTTTCAGGAAACCTATATTTAATCCATTAAAATCTATTGGAAATAGTGAACCCAGCTTAATATTATTAAAACACTCAAGAATTGTAATACTTACTGGTATTATTCCTCCTCATCCATTTTTTATTATTTTCTCCTATACCCCAGTTTCTTAAATCATATACCAAATAACTAAGAACTTTCTTAAAATGTTTGCCTTCAGACAGCAAAATAGAGTGCTGTTGCTTTAGCCCAGGCCCATTGGATTTCTCATCCAGACATATGAGAATTAGTCTCCTATTCCCCTGTTTCCAATCTTATCCTCCTCAATTTTATTAACAGGACAATGTGATTTTTATGAACATAATTCCCGTTAGGTTACAAACTTCTTCATGGTTTGGTAGTAACTTCCTATACCTATTGCCTATAGCAGATATTTTCTTTTTTCCTTTTTCATTGTCTCCCTCATTTGGTTTTTACCCTAGGTTCTACAGGCTATAGATAAGATTTATAGATTTCAATTAGCATCTTCATAACCTTTCCAATTACATATAGAAGGTTCATATATGCATATATATGAGGAGAGAGATTTTAGGGTTTCATTAGATTCTAAAACGGTCTAGTTTCCTGTAAAGGGTAAGAAACATCATTCCGTCTGTAGTCTCAGTTCCCTTGGCTGACATACAAGCCCACCTACCTGAATTTAAACTCTTCCCAATACCAACTTATCTCCTCCCTTTTTGTGTCATTTGCTCCAAGAGATAAGTACCATTTATAATGCCCAGAAAATACTCTTCTACTATTTGTCTTTCTGAATTTTTACAGGCTCTTCTCCCTGGCTATATTCATTTCTCCCATCTGTAAATATTTATTGAGTTTCCACCCTGAAAAAGTCTCTCCAGTTCCACTAGTTTCTGAGGAAACTTCTTCCTGGATTCCTGGATCTTACCTTTTATACTTGGTAAACTTTTACCCAAGCTTGAGAACATTTTCAATTGCCAGCTTTTTTTAATGAAATTTACATAATCCTGTTGTTTTTTACAAAAATGTTTGTGTTCTTCCATTGTGCTGTCATTCAACTATAAATGAACCTGAATTAAATCAATTCACATTGTACTGCAATTATTGTGTGTGTGTGTGTGTGTGTGTGTGTGTGTGTGTGTGTGTGTGTGTATAGTTTCCTATCTAGACCGGGAGGTCATGGAGTGGAATAATTTAGTTTTGCCTAGTTTCCAGTCGCATAGCAGACATTTCTAAATGAATCCATGCATAAATTAATATACAGGTAAACCCAGAGGCAGTCTGGGTAAAAAAAAAAAATTTCTGTTATCAGTTTATGAAGAAACCAATTTTCTATCAAGAACAGTGAAATTTTAATGGGCCTCAATAGTCAGCTCTTCAAAGATGTTTGTGTCCCAATCCCTTGAACATGAGAATAGTTCTATTAAATGGCAACAGGGTGTTAAATTGTAGACGGAATTAAGGCTGTCAATCAGCTGACCTTACAATATGGAGATTATCCTGGATTATCCAGGTGGGCCAAATGTAATTACAATGAACTTTAAATGAAGAAGGGAGAAACAGAAGAGTCAGAACCAGAGAGGTGGCACTAAGACAAAGACTCAACTAGCCATTATTTGCCTTGAAGATGGAGGAAGTAGTAAGGAGCCAAGGAATTCAGGGGGCTTCTAGAAGCTGGAAAAGGCAAGAAAACACATTTTCCTCTAGAGTTCCAGAAAAGGTTACAGCTCTGCTTAGACTTTGAATTTTGTCCAGCAAGACGTATTTCAGACTCCTGACTTCCGGACTATAAAATTATACATAAATGTTGTTTTAAGCCACTAAATTTGTGGTAATTTGTTACAGCAGCAATAGAAACCTAATATATATCTTTCTGCATTTCTACGGGCTCTTCTCCATGCCTGTATTCATTCCTTCAATCTATAAATATTTATTGAGTTTCCACTCTGAAAAAGCCCCACTGGTTTCTGAGGAAACTTATACTTCTTGGCTTCCTGGCTCTAACCCTCTCAGCTTGGTAAACTTTTACTCACATTTGAGATCATTTTCAATGTGTTGAATTGTGTCTTCCCCAAAAAAACTATGTTGAAGTCCTAAATCTCAGTACCTCAGACTGTGTCCTTTCTTGGAAATACTACTGTTGTTGATGTGATTAGTTAAGATGAAGTCATACTGGACAAGGATGAGTCTTTATTCCAGTGTGACTGGTGTCCTTATAAGAAGAGAAAAGAGAGAAAGCAGCCATGTGACAATAGAAGAATGATGCATCTACAAGTCAAGGAACTCCAAGAATTGCTGGCAAACACCAGAAGCTGGAAGAGGCAAGGAAGAAGTCTTCTCTACATCTTCTCTATAGATTCCAGAGGGTTTATGGCCAAGACGACATCTTTATTTCAGACTTCTAACCTCCAGAATTGTAACACAATAAATTTATCTTTGTTAGTTACTCAGTTTGTGATTTATTACAGCACCCTCAGGGAAATGAATACAAGTCCCCATCTGCCTGAATTTCTAATTTCAGAGTGCCATTGGCTGTTCAACAAACTTGTCTTTAAAAATCTCTCATGATAACTTACGAAAATTTGTTTTAATGTGTTATTCATGTTGTTGTAGCAATTGCTACAGTTAGCACAGCACAGATTAAAACACCCAAAATTTTGAGTTTGCAGCAAGCCAAAGAATGAACACACAAACAGATGATTTCACTCATGTGTTAATGAACTGCCTATGTAAGCCTTACAGTACCATTCAAGAGGGAAACCAAGTGAAAGGACATGTCAAATACTCTGCCTTAACACACATGAGTTCTGTTCTAGTGAAAAAAAAAAAGTAAGTTATGTTTTGATGAAAAATTAGAGGCATTGATGCATTTCATCAAAATTGAAACTAACAATTGGCAGCTTAACCTCAAAATCAACTTCCTTTTTTTAATTCAAAATTTTCTCAAACTTTCATTTTGACAAAAAAATGGCTTTGTAACTACCTCTGAATATTAGTATTTAATGTAAAGTTGATTAAAAACAGCAGCAGCAATGCTATGAAGTATCTTTCAAAACCACTATATCCCCAGTATTCACTCCTTCTAACTAGCATTTATTGTATATGATTTGTTTAGCAATTAATCATTAACTGCTTTGTTAAATGTCTTGTACTCAAGTCTTGTTTTTCATTTGTGAAAAGGCATATGTCCCTGTCAAAGTTAGCAATATCATTAAGGCAGTGAGTAGTTCCTGCAATTATTGTTAATGCCACCTTAGCAACCCAAGCAATCCATAGAGTTAGTCACACATCAATGATTAAAATGCTTTGTAAATTCACCTTTCACACCGGCATTGCATTGATTTAAAAAGAATGTCTAAGTACAAAGAAAAACTACTTATTTATAAAATGATAGGACTAAATCCATTTCTGTTCCATGTTAATACATAAAATTAAAATTAGAGAAGGAATTTGCATTTCTTAATTTTATAGTTAGACTAAAATATTTTATTGGAAATATTCCTTTTAAAAACTTCTAGCTAAATACTTTTCCAAAAAAATGAAATTTTAAAGATATGTTAATGGGTTATAATAAATAAAAGTTATAGTTGCTGTAATGAAAAGGTACTATAGTAAACCAGGCTCAAAAACACAGATTAATCAAGCTCTGTTAGTGATTATTTACTCTATTGTTTTACTACCATATATGCTTGAATAGGCTACCTTATTATTTTACTACCATATATGCTTGAATATCAGTACTACATTCATACTGAGTTAACATTAATTGGATAATATAGCAATTAAATATATATAGTTATGCATATTACTAATTTTAATTTATTTTCAAATTATGTGTTTTATTTTCTCATAAGAAATTGATAATTTTCATACCATATTAGTTTGCTAGGACTGCCATAACAAAGTACCACAGATTAGATAAATTAAACCACAAGTATTTATTCTCTCACCATTCTGGAGACTAAAAGTCTAAGATAAGGTATAGGTAGAATTGGTTCCTTCTGAAGGCCACAGGAAGAATTGATTACAGGCCTCTATATTTGGTTTGGAGATGGCCATCTTCTCCCTGTGTCTTCACATGCCTTCTCTCTATACAAATCTTTGTCCAAATTTCCTCTTCTCACAAGGGCACCCATCCAGCTGAACTCAGGCAAACCCTAATGATCTCATTTTAACTTAATCACCTTTGTAAAGATCCTGTCTCCAAATTCAGTCATGTTTGGGGGAAGTTAGCACTTCAAAATGAAATTTTTAGAAGCGGGAACACAATTTACTCCATAACACACACAAAATTCACAAATCAATATTTAGGAGACTTCAAGTAGCCATAACTTCTTTGAACTTCATAAAAGCAACAATTTTTTATGCTTGGTATACAGTGGCAGTTTTATTAATTCTGAACATTTAGCTATTTTTTTTTCTGAACTACTTTGGTTGTTACAGAATAGTGAAAACTAAGAGTACCACATTTGCAAAATACAAAATAATAGTATTTAAGATGATAGGAATATTAATGAAATACACAATAAGAAGAGTTTATACAGCTTTATAATTTTCATACTACAGTTTTCATACATCTTGGTTTTTCAGACTTTGAGATGAACAAATCAAGTTAAAAAGAACCCCAAAGTCTGGTCGTAAAAGCAAAAATAAACTGTTTCATACTGTGATCCAAGAGCATGGATCCAACAGGGAGTTCCTTGATCTTCCAGAAATAACTATTAACCTTAACTTTTTAAAGCTTGGAAATCTATTAGTAAATGTGTCTGATAAAAACCAAAATATTTCTGGGAAATATCACATATTAGTTTTCAAATCTTGCATGAGTTACATTATTTGATAATAGGACATCCTTGCTTGACAGAAAATGTAATTTCTTTAAGAATGAGAAAGCAAGTAGATTTTCAGTGTCTGTAAAAACAAGAGACTAAGTAGAATTTTCCCTTTCCTTTTTTGTGGGGGAAAACCAAAAAGGAAGCTAAAATCACCCAACACAGCACATCCAAAGATGTTCTGGTTTTTTTTCTTCAAAATTCATAAGATACTAAATACACGTATTTAATATGCACATTTGTGTAAATATGTATTATTAATAAAAATGAGACAAATAAAATTTAATTATTAATCAGATAAGAAAAAGTAAACAAAAGATAGCAATGTGAGGATTGTGTTATTTTGTCATTTGAGTTGATTTCAGAAAACTTGAGATCGGGAGATGGGGGGAAGAAAGGGGAAAAGTTTATTTCTTATAAGAAATAGTCTGTATTCAAAGTTGTAAGTTTTTTTTGTCAGAAATTCACCTCATTAAACAATTCAAATTTTAATCCTTCCTATGTTCTTAATTCCTAGACTTTCCTTAAAATGTTTTTTTTTAATGGTCTGAGCAGTTAATCGAATGCTTATTTTCAGATTTTACACAATTTCATGAATGACAGTGTCCAGTAGAGCACGGCTATTTCACTATTACTTTGAATCCATACACCAAAGAAATTCCAGACATTTCATTATCTTCCACATTTTTTTGAGAGTTGAAACGTGAAAGTGAGATGGAAAGATGGACAGCTGAGGAAGAGTAACCGTAAAAGAAGAGGCAAGCTAAACACAATAAACCTAATCTTAAACACAAATGCACACAGCTGTGCAGTTTTCAGGCCCCAGAAAACCTGTCTCTGTGTAATGCAATATGAAAGAAAAACATCCTTGTTCTTGGAGGCAACTTCTCCATTTCTTGTGCTTTCTTATTTAAATAACCTTAGATCACAAGACACAGGATACACTTAAAAGTACTTCCTCCTTTTCAATGACCTTTCAGCTCTGAAAGGCCAGGTGAAAAAAGGAAAAATATCAAGATGTCTATTTCTAACTCCAACTATTACCTTTTGTGGAGAATGTCATCTTCTTTGAGAGCCTATAAAGGTGAAAAGAAATGTATGCTAAAAAGTACCAATATATATAACTGATATATTAAATATTTGCAGTTTCATGGAAGTCCTTTATCTATTTAAATAAAGTTAAAGAGTGCCTAATCCAGAAGATATTCAATGTTTATGAAACACATTAATGAGTGAATTAATTAAAATGTATTTTTTCTACCACTTGGAAAATTTTATGTCAGATGACGAATAAAGTACATGGAAAAACTGTGTATTTTCTAGGTAAATGAAGCATGAATGAACAAGATATTTAGGTTTTAAAGGTCTTTATATCAGAAATTTTAAGCTGTCATAAAACGAACTTACAGGTAGTGAATGGTCTAGACGTTCAGCCTGAAATAAGCTATTTAACTTAGTACATATCCTGCCTGCTGTTGTAAGCAAATTCCATTCATTGACCTTCTTTTCTACCACTTTTCCTATCAGAAACTGAATACCTATTTGGAAAATGAGAACACATGAACCACTGATTATGACTGAACCTGGAACTCATTCCCACCACCTCCATTTCTGAGCAACAGAACATAGAAGAGCCCCACTAAAAACCACTAATCAAGGTCCTCAAATCCTTTGCATGGGAGCTCCAGCCAGGCAAGCCTAGGAGACGTATTGAGGTGCTGGTAGCCAATGCTCAGGAAAAAGAATGACTTTTGGGTATTTGAAGAATAGAAAGCTTCAGTAGTCACATAACAGGTTGATGTGGGACACACAGATGGGGAAGAAACGGAGGTAGCTGATTCATTCTTGTATTTTAATGCCTATCTGCCCTTTATCTCATGTACCCGGGAGACAGCAGTGCTTACCAGAATGCTAATGACTCTTTTATTCCTTTTTATGAACCACAGGAATCCCCTTTCTCTATAGCTCATCACCCACGTGCAAAAAAAAAAAAAAAAAAAAAATATGTACTTCCCTGCTCTAACAAAGAATTCAAACACACTTTTGCTTACTCTCTTGCACTTTGATGTTTGAAGCAAACAAAAAAGAATTTGTTCTCTCAGAGTAAATAACAACTAAAAGTAAAGAAATAAACGTAAAACTTTGCCTGCCCTCCTGCCTTCCCAACTTTATTTTCCTGTAAGCCTTCTAGGAATAAAAGAAAATAGAAGGTTACACATTGGTGCTGTTTGTCTTGTACACAAAATGCTAAAGGACTTTCATCTGCACATATGTGGAAAACCAACTGCAGTTAACATGGACATTTCCCCCAAAGGGGCAGTAGTTAGAGATCTGGATATGAAAAGCTGAGAAAAGCTGGAGGATGGACAGTGAGGGAGAGGCTAGGGGCTGAGGATACACTTAATACAAAGACAGTGACGTGTACTTGAGGATGCTATTTCCATATTGGCTACAAAAGTACTCCTCTTCCACCAGGCTTAGAGCAAAGTAAAAAATCAAGAAGTAGGTCCGGTGACATTGATAAGAGGAGTGATAGGTAAAAGGAACTGCCCGGAAAAAGTGAGGAATCAACAGAAATAAATGTCTGCCCATCTGGAAGTAGAGTTTCAGTCCCTACTTAGCCTTTCTAAGGGCTGTTTATTACTGGATTTATGTAGCATGATAGTTCAAATAAGAATTGTTCCTAATGGATCTGTTTTTATTTTACATTGGTTATTCGTTCATAAAGAATGAGTAGGTTATTATAAAGAAATTCTGTATTTAAAATGTCTGTAAATCAGGTAAGTGAATATGCTAAAAAATACCAAGTTAAATTATTAATGCCTTATATATAGTACTGATGTAAAAACTGA
The DNA here is from genome assembly GCF_000001405.40 of Homo sapiens. Taxonomy (NCBI): domain Eukaryota; kingdom Metazoa; phylum Chordata; class Mammalia; order Primates; family Hominidae; genus Homo; species Homo sapiens. Next base: position 85,288,517 of record NC_000007.14, on the reverse strand, counting down.
GGTAAAGACTAAAAAATAGACTTTTTCAAAGAAGGGATGAGATTAGAATTCCTAATCTCTGCATTTTCAAAATATGGCTATTATATAGCCTTCTTTATTCCTAAGTTTAAAAATGAGCCTAAAATCTCTAAAAGTCATGTTCACATATAACAATAATGATACAATAAATTAAATAAACTTTTTAATATAAAAATCAGAAACTCATAAATTATGCTATTTTGTTTGGTTCCTACCAGTATTAAATACATTTTAAATTAGTTTGCAGAGTTACGGGCACGTCACTGAAAAATATGGTAATTTGTCTTTATTATGAATTATTTTACCAAGAACAGCTGATGTTTTATAGAAACTAGTTCAACATACATTTTGAGTTAAAAAAAATAACTTGATACAATTATAGAAATCATCCAGAATCAAATCACAATTACCTAAACTCCTTAACTAATTATTTTTTCTGATAATAGACTGGAAGTTTTCACTCCAATTTTCTATGAGGGCTAGGCTTTCAATTTTATTTTATAAGAAATGTACATGAATGAAAATGTCATACAGTGGCATTTGCAAAGGTACTAGAAAATATAATTTATAAGACTATTTGTTTCTCATTTAACTTATATTTCAAAAAAATTGGAATTTTTATGTATTCTACCATCACGTTTACTTGCAATTTTCCAGTAATCGTAGGAGATCCTCTTTAAAAGTCTACAAAATAATGAGGCTAAGGACACCTCTTCATTTGTATTTACAGGGAAATTAATTCTTTAGAATTTGCATTTGTCTTTTTAAATGACAGCAGATTTGTCTCAAGTGTGAAATCACAAATTTAAAAGTTAAAAGGCCTCTGGAGTGCAAGACTAGCAGTTGTCCCTTGATGAGACTACTGACAATGACAGCAGATGACAACCTTCAATACAATCATTGTCATGTGTTTGCATGTGAAATTTATGGATAGAAGTTTTAATTCTCCTCTTCTATGGTTGGTGTGGTTTGCCTTCTAGAAAAGAAGCAATTGTTATCAGTATGTAACTGAAGTCTCTAGGATATGATTACATACTTAAGACATGAAGAATTGGAAATGCTTTCAGCAGTCCCCAGGGACGAGCTTAGGGTTGTGACTGATCAACAGGGTAACTATCCTGGTTATAATCCTCACATTACATTCCAGAGGAAAGGCATCACTGCACCTCTAGTTTTCTTAGTTATATTATTTATGACAACAGTGAAGACTTATACTAGTATTAACTGGACAACTGTATACAGATGTGTCATCTAAAACGGTTAGCCCGAGGCGGTAAAAATGTGTCTCAGTCTCACCATTCATCCAGCAACAGCTGACAATTTGGCAGCAATCTGTGTTATGTTAAGATTTCCTAGTATCCCTATTTGTACTGTTGCTTGAGGAATCATATGAGAGTAAAAAACATGTTTTGCAGAATACATTATGAAAACAATCATAAGGTATACGTCTATCATTAAAAAATCTTGATGATGTTATGCATGCATATATGAGGAATAAGAAGGAACGAATCAATGTCTGGGTGACAAGTTTCATACATGGCTGAAATTTTTTTCATAAGTTTGAAATGCATGCTTTTTCGCTGTGGAAGTGGAATCACACCTTTGCCTTGCTTTGCACATTTTTAAACTACTGACACATGTTTCAGAGATGTATTGCTTACTCTTCCCTTAATAAGAAAAAAAATCCTGGTAAATAGTCTAGCGAGCATAGAGAATAAAATAACTGGAGGCCACATACAGCAATTTTTAGTTTTATAGTTTATCTTTGGATCGTTTCAGTCTTCTGTATTTACTGGATCTGCCTGTGGAAAAGTCTGTTAATCTGATGGCCAACGTGTTTGTTCTGAGTCACTGATTAAGGAACACTGATGTGAGCACTTTGTTGTGTTTTCCTGCTAATCACAACAACATTTCAGAGCTGCAGAGTTTCCAACTGCTTTCTTCATCCTTGGCATATATAATCTACTTGGAAATAGCTAACTTTTAACTATTTTTCCATTTTTGAAATAGTATGTTGGATATAAAGCTTAATATTTAGTACAGTACAATTTTGCCTTTGTTTTCTGTTTGTCAAGGTGCAGTTTTCCCAAGTAGACAAACATAAAATCCTTTCATTATTCCCAGTCCAGTTAAAAAATAACATTATTAACAAAGAATATGCTTATAATAAGAATTATAAAGATCCAAATGACACAAATATCATGGAAAATTAAGTTAGAAGTAGAATTGAAAAACAGTCCAAAATCCTCATTTTAACTGATTTTTTATTTAGAAAATATATCCATTTCAGATGTTATATAAGCTATTTTTATATAGGAAATATTGATTACATAATTTGTGTGTTTGGAAACTTTAGACACACAGAACTTTAGAAGGCTATGAAAACAGGTAAAGAAGAGCCTACTCAATGAAGCATGTAATAAGAAAAAGAAGATTTTACTGTGTTGTAACCTACATACGATTTTCTCTCACTTTCTTATGGATAGCACATCAACATTTTGGCTAACATAGGCTAGGAAAGCAATGGATCCCACAGCAAACACTAGAGATAAACAGTAAAAATTGATTAATTGAACTACTTAAAAAACGTTCACTCCCTGATGTCTTAATGTTCCTGGTGATTTACTTCCCAAGATGTCCACTTCATATTGTTTTCATTGGGTGATTGGAATAGAGGACCCTTTCACTGTTGTTTGCTTCACTGGAGTTGAGATGGAATGGTTCCAGTTGTATAAACAGCTCTTGGTGATCTTCCAGCCTTCTTTCCAGTGCCCCATGGAGAGGCAGTTGATTAAGCAGGGCATGGTATGGGCAGGTGCTGCACACAATTCCTTCATAGTTTCACCATCCCCCTGTGGACCTCAAGTGTGACTCTAGTCCTAGTTCTTTCATGAATTGGAACAACTAATCATAATTTACTCTGAGGTGATTTGGGTCATGTACACAAATTGCAGATAGAATTAAGTTAATAGAGTCCTTTTATTGTATGCTTGGCCAAAACCAGACCTCCTGAGAGGAAAGACTAATTGACTAGTCACCTCATGCATTTTTATGCCCGCATAGAGGGCCTTGAATATAAGCAACTAAGAGTATCCAATTGACACAGAGGATTTGGCTCTCCTGACTGAAATTTATCAACTGCAGAAGTTTATATATCTGATGTACTTTGTTTATTTGTTTGTTTGTTTTTCATGGAAAGAATGTGGAGCTAAGGAGGAAAAAGATTTTCATGACAAAAGAAGTATTTTCCAAATAATGCATTAAGACTCATGCACGAATACCTATTTTCATAAATCTTAGAAAGAGAGGTCTATGATATCTTCTAAATATATTTTTACGTATACTTTTAAGAAAGGATATTGTAGGGGAAATAATTTTCAAATTTTTAATCTATATTTAATAGAATATTTTGAAGGAACTAATTATGTATCACTTTTAAATCTGTCTATAAACTGGAAAAAATGTCACTATGTCTGATACAAATAGTTTTATGAACATGATTGTGACAACAAAAGAGCAACCAAAATTATTTGGGAAATGTACTTTAATGTTTACTAAACAATTTACTTTCCTCTAACACATTGTGGATAGCACATCAACATCCCAGAACTTGTCTTTTTCTCACAGCCTGGGGAAGCAATAGATTCCACAGCAAACATTAGACATAAACTTAGTAAAAACTGCTTAATGGAAACACTTAAAAATATTTATTTCTTCTATATATTTCTTTTAGTGACTGTATTTATGAATTCCATCCCATCTTTTTTGCTAGAACTATTGAATTTCCCTAGACTCTTTTATTTAGTTTTCTGCCATATTGGCTTTGTTTGTTTGTTTGTTTGTTTGTTTGTTTGTTTTAGATGGAGTCTTGCTCTGTCACCAGGCTGGAGTGCAGTGGCGCGATCTCGGCTCACTGCTACCTCTGACTCCCTGGTTCAAGCGATTCTCCTGACTCAGTCTCCCGAGTAGCTGGGATTACAGGCACACACTACTATGCCCAGCTAACTTTTGTATTATTAGTAGAGATGAGGTTTCACCTTGTTGGCCAGGATGGTCTTGATCTCCTGACCTAGTGATCTGCCTGCCTCGGCCTCCCAGAGTACTGGGATTATAGCCCTGAGCCACCGCGCCCGGCCCATACTGCATTTCTTAAGGAAACATTAAATCAAAAGTTGGGAAAAAAATAAATATTATGCACTATATTGCTTAATTAACTGTATATGCTCTGGAAGATATTTAGTACATATTTACATTAAAAGTAGATTTCTAACATTGCAAGGTCAATGGTTCTTAATTCTCCAGTTATGCATCAGAATTTTTTGGAGAAAGATACTTCTCTCATTTAAGATCAGGCAGTCAATTTGTGAGGATGAGTCCCAGGTTTCAGTGTTTTTTAAAAGATGTGAGTATTTTTTAAAAGCTCCCTTTATTCTAATGTGCAGCCAGATTTAAGACCCATTTTTCTATTGAAACTAATATTTACTGTTTACTACATACCACATATGGTATTAGACATACTTCAAATTTTTTGTTTCATCTAATTTTTAACTATTACAAAACGTAGTTGAATTATTGAATTAGTCAACCTCGAGAATCCAAAGTTTAGCTTTTCTAATTGCTTTATAAAATCAGCTTATAACAAGTTGATTTGGCTCCTTAACTTCAGGAATGAAAAGTTTTTTAAAACTTATGTTTATTCGGCCAGGGGAAGTGGCTGACGCCTGTAATTCCAGCACTTTGGGAGGCTGAGGCAGGAGGATCACTTGAGGTCAGGAGTTTGAGACCAGTCTGGTTAATATGGTGAAACCCTGTCTCTACTAAAAATACAAAAATTAGCTGGGCGTGGTGGCGGGCGCCTGTAAGCCCAGCTACTGAGACTGAGGCATAAGAGTTGCTAGAACCCCGGAGGTGGAGGTTGCAGTGAGCTGAGATCACACCATTGCACTCCAGCATGGCCACTCATGTCAAGATAGCAATTTGTCACCTACACCACAGAATTTTGATTTAATATACAAAAAAAATTTAAATGGGATTTGTATATCAGAAAAGTTTACATTGTTTTCAGTTGTACTTGTAGAGACTTATCTTAATTACTTTTCAATGAGTAGTGAAATTCTCTTGGTGATTTTCCATGATAGTATCTTCTAGAAAAGATAGAGGTATGGACTAAGATAAAATTTAAATAAGACAAATAAGGCTTTGGTTTTCTATCTTAAAGAATATTCAAATTAAGCCTACTCTCATAATTCATTGATAAATTTTCGGCAATTTCTGAAGTACAGTAGTTAATGCCATGTTTATTTGCATTGTCAATATAGCAAATATTGAATTAAAATTTTAAAGTGTATTAGACTTCTCTGTGTAATATTACAATAGTATAGAAATTTAATGGTACTTTTTTCTTTTTCTAAAGTGATATTTTCATCTTACTGCAAAAGATTATCAAAAAAACATGTAAGATTTTTCTCAGTAGCCATAAAAGTTTGTTTAAATGTATTTGTATTTTATTTATGTTATTACTAGCATAAGGAAAAAAATTATAATTTTAAATTGTTTACATATATGTAGCATTAGGTAATGTAACACCAATATATAATACATATAATAAATATATTCATAACACTTCATGTATTGCATATTATACATGGAGGCAATGTATTCAACACAGCCTTTTAATGTATATTAAAATATATAAACTAATGTATATATAATAAAATTTTTAGTCCAAATTGGGTGTATAAACCAATTAGTATATTTTCAGTCCAAAAATAGGCTTTAGACATCAGTGTATTTCTTTATAAGTGAATTCAACACACAAATTTAAGCTATGCTCTCAGATTGTTGAAGTTATTTATTTAGCCTTTCAGTATGCCAGACTTAACTTTCCTACTCTTAAAATGATGTAGTTTTTGTGTATTTGGAGTGAATCATGATTTTTGGACACTATTTACAAATTGGTACATTCTCCCACCCTAATAAAAGATATAGATTCCCCATTCATTTCTACTGCTAGAATTTAGAGCAAAGAATGACAGAAAACGTTAGATGTCCCATTCTCTGTGACACTCTGGGCCAGGGACAGGTGATAGTATTGTTAAGAAATTTTTTTAAGGGGTGGTGGTTGTCAGGAGAATGTTTTAACTTGTCTGAGACGTTAGGAATTTCTAATTTAAAGTTTCAGCTTTGCATCATTGTCCTAGACAAATCCCAAGCTACAACTCTAGCCTTTCCCCAAGGCATACAGGGTTTTCCACATGAAACATAGCAAGTCTTTTTATGAAAGACATGTTTTATTAATCTTTCTGAATTTATAAGACAACACTTTATGGTAGTGACTGGGACAGTTGCAGGGGGAGATTTTTCCAGTGGTCATTTACTATTACTTATTAGATAATGTGTTCTTTGGGGAGTCAAATTATTCCTCTAATTGTAAATAAATCAGCACAACATAATCAGCTAGTAGTTACAAGGCACTGTCATTTAGGGACGTGGATCTGTAATCAGTTCCTCTGGATTCCAGTACCTGCATTTGAGACTATAAATGTGATTTTACCATTAAGTATTTACTTCATTTTCCATATGGGGAAATAGTGACAAAAGAGTGTTTTCTGTGAACAGAACATGGAATTTCTGATGGGCTGTGCTTTCTGTTCATTATTTCTATTTGGTTTCAGTAGTAGTAATGAGCTTTTAAATAAGAACCTTGACTTCAGTGGATGTGGCTACAAGAATAAAGTAAATATCAAGGGTGTCTTCCTGACCATCAAATAAAACACCCCTTCAGTAAAATAATCACCTTTTTATTCCTTCATTATGAAAATATTTGACTTTCAGTGGAAAGTTTTTCCACCCAACAAGGACCAAATTTCTATTAAAAAAAAAAAAACTTCCAGTGCTTTTTAACTACTTCCATTCCCTTCTTCAGAGTATTGGGGTGACAGGAGATGGGGCATAGAATCAACCTTTCAAAGGGATTAGTTTTCTTTATAACAACACAGAAATCTTCAACATTAAAAAAAAACATGTTATTCAGTATTTTCACAGCTCAGCACGTGCTTGACTGACCCTTGACCATAACAAAGCATTAGAATTGACATAGAAGGAAAAAAAATATTTTTGAAAAGAGGCTGTTATTAATAAACAAAGAATTCTGGTTTAAAAAATATATACTGTTGAGTAGTAAGGCTTTCAGTGAAACAAACCGTAGTTGTGTCTTCCTACAGGAAAGCCTTCTGACTTACTATTTAGTTTGGTTCAGGACCTTTTCTACTTATGTCTTGTATATACATAGAAGTCTGGAAAGAAAAAGTAAATCTGATAGAATCATGTCAGTAAACCATTAGTTTGTAGTCTTTATCTGAAAATAAAATAGTAATGTAATTTTTCAGTGCTTTAAAAATAAGATTGATAAGAATTTTAGGAGTTGAAATCATATCTCTCACATTAGGAAGTCTTTATTATAGAAATAAACATACTCATCTGAATATACATACACATATACACATATACAAAAAATGTTATATATATATATATATAATCATTTACAATTAATTTAGAGCAAAGTATTTCACTTTTTATTGTAGGGCAGACATAAACTTTCTCAGAGTCTATTGTTTCCTTCCACTATCTACTCCTTCTCCTCCTTCTGTTCATTTTCATTCATTCAGAAAAAGGAAAGAAATTTTGGCTGACGATGATTGTGCGTGACTGAGATCAGTAATACCATGTCTTGGCTGTACTATTCGTTCATCTAAAGCCATTTTTAATATAACTTTCCAAGCTGCTACAGGGCTGGAACTCAAAAAGTATTAAATGTCAGTCTTCATTGTTCTGAGGGGCTATCTAGTCCTGTTTCTATTTTGGGAACATGATTTGGCATTTAAGGGATAGATTGTTGCGTTGTTTCTAACTGTGCTCAATCTTATGACTACACTCTTTATTTCAGACTAGTCTTTCTACCCATGTAGAAAGCTTTAAGATTTTTTTCACAAATGCTACTGTTTCTCTGAAAAAAAAAGTTATTAATATAAATTGTACCTATCCCCAGAACCTAGTATAGAACCTTGACACACAAGAGTTATTCTATGAATATTTGTTGAATGAATAATTAAGGTATGAAGATTTAAAAAATTCATTGATTAATCATATTATATTTCATTTTACTTGCTTTTATCAATACATATCTTAGTTATAATAGGCATTTTACCTTTGAAGTTATTTTACCATGAAAATTTAAATAGTCATCTAGCAAACTTTGGCATATTCTTTGTTCATTATTCAGTCCAGTTAATGATGCCTTTGAGTGTCATGGTAAATTATCTGAGTGGTTACACTATTAACTTTTCAGTTTCTACTTTATAATTTGAGCAACCATTTTCCTGTACAATTTCACCATAGCTATGCGGCTACTATTCTAGCATTAAGTTAACTTTAAAACTAATCTATATCCCAGTTATAACTGCCTTATACCAAATTCCATCTTACTGGTAGTTCTACAATGTTAAGAAAAGTGCAATGTTAGTTCATACATGACTTTTTTTATTAGGATGACTGCCTGAAGAAACTTCAAGTAAGCCTAACTAATATATATGTGTGTGTGCGTGTATATATATATATATATGTATATGTGTGTGTGTGTGTGTGTGTGTGTATATATGTATATATATGCAGGCGTATATATACACACATATATATGAGTGTGTGTATATATATGCACGTATATATATACACACATGTATATATAAGTGTATATATGTATATATGAGTATATATACTCTCTATATATGACAGTGTGTGTATATATATATATATATATATAATCTTTGCCTAAATACTACAGATAGATAGATAGATAGATAGATAGATAGATAGATAGATAGATACAGATAATTCTTTCCCCAGGTATCTTATTTTCCAATATTTAAATGATAACGCATCTGCTCAGATTAAATATGTTATTGTAGCTTAACTGACCTCTGTGTTTTGATACATTGGTGAGTACCTTTTCTATAAGCCTTTGTAACTAGGGCAAAAAGACCAGGCTATATAATTAGTCCCATTAGACCCTAATTTCCAAATTGGCCTTCTTTAACTCTAACTTTTGCTTAAAGACTCTAATATTTTAGTTTGGTAATTTTGTCTGACATTCTATATGAGTTCCATAAAACAAATGCAGGGCTCCAAAACCCTTTTTTGGAGACCACCAAGCTAGGGCTTGCTTGCGACTTAGTTCCAATAGAAGTAAATAACCCTATGTTAAGATTTGTAGTTTCTTTTGGAGCTCATGGTTCTCATATGTTTCTGGTTTATGTAGCCACCCATGTCATTAGAAATAATGAAATGCAAGGTTAAAATACCCAGAAGTGATGAGAATTGTAGTCATAATAAAATCATATTTTTAGGCACTTGTCAAAATTCAAATGGCAAATGCAGAATTTTCATATGGTAAACCTCACTGAGTTGTACCATGACTATCATAACAAATCAGACTCCTTTAAAAATGCTTATATTAACTTTCCATTGCTATCAAATTTTGTATTGCTACCTAAAATTCTGCATTAAACTTGGATATATTCTGTTCTAAATTTCACAGTAGATTTGTCAACATAGAATGAAACACTAGGAGAATAATATGAGAGGTGCATTAATTTCCTTAATACCCTCTTTTTTCTTCCTGTGGTTTAGCTTAGTAAGAAACCCATCAAATAATCACACATTAAGTTAGGTCTGACAAATATCTCTCTTTTTTCCTACAGGAAGTCTATATTTGTTCTTGCTAATGTGTCATTTTAATAATCACTAGGGTGGGCAGGGTGCAGTGGCTCATGCCTGTTATCCCAGCACTTTGGGATGCCAAGGTGGGCGGATCACTTGAGTTCAGGAGTTTGAGGCCAGCCTGGCCAACATGGTGAAACTCCATCTCTACTGAAAAAAAATAAAATAAAATAAAAAATAAAAAATAAATTTAAAAAAAAATAGCTGGTAGTGGTGGCGGGTGCCAGTAATCCTAGCTACTCAGGAGCCTGAGGCATGAGAATCTCTTGAACCTGGCAGGTGGAGGTTACAGTGAGCTGAGATCACACCAGCCTGGGTGACAGAGTGAGCAGCCTGGGTGCACTCCAGCCTGGGTGACAGAGTGAGATGCCATTTCAAAAAAAATAAAAATAAAATAAAATAAAAATAAATCACTAGGGCAAGAGAACTTCACATAATTTCCTTGATTTTTTTTTTTTTTTTTTTTTTTTTTTTTGTGGTTTGTCTCTTGCAGGTAAATACTCTCTTATTTGTGAAGTGTTTAGTAAGAGCTACTGGAATCATCTTTTTTCTTCAAGTAGATCAAGCTTGTCTATCCCATGGCCCATGGGCGACATACATATGGCCCAGGACAGCTCTGAATGCAGCCCAACATAACTTCATAAACTTTCTAAAAATGCTATGAGATTTTTTTTTTGAGATATTTCTTTTTAGCTCATCAGCTATCAGTATATTTTATGTGTGGCCCAAAACAATTCTTCTTCTACCAATGTGGCCCAGGGAAGCCAAAAGACTGGACATCCCTTTTGTAGATATTTAAGAAAAGATTTCCATTTTGTACTAAAAAACTACTAAGTTTTTTTTGGTCCTATTTTCATTGTTTAATAATTTGCAACTTGATTAGGGAGCCAAAATTATCCCAAATATTACACATCGACAAAAAATCAATAATATAATATTTGGCCCTTTGAGAAAAAAAAATATGTGATCACTTTAATATAAATCTCTGGGCCAGGCGCCATGACTCAAGCCTATAATTTTAACACTTTGGGAGGCGAAGACGGGCAGATCGCTTGAGCTCAGAAGTTGGAGACCAGCCTGGGCAACATGTCTAAATCCCGTCTTTACTAAAAATACAAAATTTAGCTGGGTGTGGTGGCACACGGCTGTACTCCCAGCTACTTGAGGGACTGAGGTAAGAGACCTCTTGAGCCCAGCAGGTCAAGGCTGCAGTGAGACCTATTCAGGCCACTGCACTCCAGTCTTGGTGATGAAGCGAGACCCCGTCTCAAAAAAAAAAAAAAAATATATATATATATATATACACACACACACATATATATATACACACACACAGACATGCACACAGACACATAGATATATGCACATATATATGTGTCTATATATATATTATATACACATTATTATATTATCTATAATATATTTATGTGTGTGTGTGTATATATATATAAATTTTCCAGTGAAGAAATTCACTCCCAGGAAGGTGAGATTATTTTAAATGTCTTGCTTAAGGTGACAGACATAGTGAGATATGGCAGAGGGAAACTTACGTGAGTTGAGATCAAAATTAGGGCCTAGTTGGCTTGGAAAATTCCTAAATTTCTACAGTTGTAAACTCTTTAACAATAGGAGATATCAGATTCTTCCTAACTCTAATTTATAAACCAGACCACTACTACAACCCTGACTAGACAGAGGACTGGCCTTACAATCTTTGCTGATAAGCAATAACAGACCTTAAACCAGTTTCAGCAAGCTTATAGGGGCTGTGCACAAATGGTCTTGGTGTCCTATAGCTCACCTTTTGACGTAAAGAGACAAATTTCATCCATTTTTATGCCAGCACTCTGCTCCAAAGTGAACATGGAAAGTATGTCATAGTTATGTTTACTCATTGTGCATGTGCTTGGTTTCCCTCAGAAAGACATAAAACTTTTCCCCCAAACTTGCTAAATATGTATGACTCTATTGTGTGATATAGGCCCTATGAGGCCCTTTTTGAAGAGAGAGCACCTTCAGCCCATATCAAAGACTTTTTCTTTGTGATTTGTAAACGAATATCACCAAAAAAGCTCTTCTTTCTATGATTTAGCTATCCTGATGGTCTTTTGGATGGCACCTAGAACGAAGATCTCACGCCTCCACTCTGGTGTGTCTCCTACTTGACCATTTATAGGGAAGTTCCAATTTTTCCCCTGAAAGTTTGATAAGGTGAGTCTATAGAACAAACTGATAATAAACGTATTAATAGAAAAAAGGCACACATATTTTATGTGCACACATATGCAAGGGAGTCATACAAAATACAAAAACTCAAAGAAAGGCAAATGGTTGATACTTTTATACTATCCAGAGGTTACAGAAAGAATAGGGGATTAGAGAGAAGCCTGACAGGTTATAGTGGCCAGACACGTTACTGGAGGAAGAGAAGAGGAGGCTTGGGTAGTAAAGGTGATCTTGTTAGGAACATAAAACCTCATAGATAGCAGCCCTCAGAAACAATAGATAGTGATCTCTGCTTAATCTTTCTCTGTCAGATTTTTAGAGATGTCAAGCTTTCACTTAATCTTTCCTATATCCAGACGCAGGATGGCCTCAGAGAAAGCTCAATTGTGTCTGTTTACTTCACTATATTTCCTCTACAGATGCAATTTTCCTCCGCGAAAGGCAGATTCACTAGGCTACTGTTGTCTGCAAGTTCTCTGAATGGGCATCTCAAAATATGTAAAAAAAAAAAAAAAAAAAAAAAAAAAGACATATTTTAGGGTCAAATATTTTTGTTTCTTTTGCCATGTAACTTTGGCATAATTATGTTAAATTTGAACTGTAGGTACTAGTTGATGCACTAAAAGATATAAAAGTTTATTCAGTGAATCCTTTCCTCCTCCAATTTTATTGTAAAACTGAAGATGAAACATATTAGAACAGTGACATAAATTCCCCTGAGTGAGTTTTGGTAGCCTCTTAGCCCTGACCTTACATTTCTTCATTGTGAAGTCTTAGAGTTTGAGAGTATCATCCTCTCTCATCTCAGTATTATTAGCACCTTGTACAATTATCCTGAAGGAAATGAAAATATTTTACCCCAAAATATATTTCTTTTACATATATATTTTGAGATGGCAGTTTAAGACCAGCGAACAGAAATAGCCCTGCAAAGCTGTTGTTTTGGGGAGAAAATTTGCATCTGTACAGAATTTGTATTGATGCGGCTAGGCCTTTTCTTGGGCAGATGTGGGAGAGACGATCAGAGAGTCTGACACCTTAAAATCTGAAAGAAACATTTGCTGTCTATTCTCTCTGAGGGCTGCTACCTGTGAGGTTTCATCTACATAATAACACCTCCTTTGCTAGCCAAGGTGCTCCTCTTCTCTCCCTTCCGGTCTTGCCACTATGACCTGATTTATCATCATAATCTATTTTGGGTCATGTTCTGAACTCCACCTTTTCTGTAACCTCAGGATGGTACATAAGCTTCTGCACCACGTTGGGGGATTGAGTAATGACTTTGTGATACTCCCCATGTATGCATTGATAAATAGTATTCATTTTTTTCTTATTAATCTACCTTTTCTGAGTTGATTTTTCAGTGAATCTTCAGTGAGTGAAGGGAGAGTTTTTCCTTGGCCCCTGCAATCCCATTTCTTGTCTCAATAATAGAAATTATTGAGAATTATTGATCAAATTTCTCTATGATTTGGGATATGAAAGATTAGACATAAATTTTTTTCTTGCCTTTTAGATATAACTAAGTAATTTTAAAGAGGCAAAATAGTCCCATTTTTCTAAAATACAACTGCCTCTGCACCTTATCTTTTTAAATGACTACTCAAGTAAATACCTAATTAGAGTAAGGAAGATCCAAATGATAGTATTTTTTCAGGGATTCCAGAAATATGTTTTAAAACTGCTTATATAAGATTTCAATGTGCACCTGATGATTGCAAATTGCTGTTTTCCAGAAAAGATTAATGGGTGCCTGTTTGAGCAGGGCCTAATTATTGTTTTTCTCTCTAGGGACAAATGTGAAAGGAGCCTGGGGAGATCTATGTAGGCTGTCTCCAGACATGTGCAATTCGCTGTTTAATGGGAGGTGAGGTTTCTGGCCCTCCATAGGACAAAGGGAAAACAAAGGAGTGTATGTTGAGCTTCAGTTGAGGGTTTCCTATATGGGTTTGTGTTGTTTTAATCCCTCTTTCCACAGTCCACTAGTATTGACATTCTCTGTTATCCTTTTCTTTTTTACTAATATAATTTTCAAGCATTTAAGACTGACTCTAACTACAAAAGTATTTAAGTATTAGCAGGATTTTTCCTCACATAAAATTTGAAACAGAAAATGTTATTTAAATACAAAATAGCCAAGAAATAGCTATGACATTTACACAATTAAGATATAGTTTTTAATATGAAGAATTCTTACAATTTTAGATGGTTTATGGTTGCTGCAGTAGTAAAAAAAAAAATAGAGCTGCTTTTTGGTTTTCTCAGTCTTCAGTGATTGAGACCAATATATATGCTAACCTGAAATTAGAAATTAGAGACCACCATGAGCAAATCAGGAAAACCATTTCTACCTGTTAACAGCGTACATCATATTTCATACCTTCAGAGTTTATGGGAAGCAAAATAGTTCTTTCTTCAAAAAAATTACCTACTTTTATTTATTCTTACTTCCCTCATTCAAATAAGATTTACAGTCCCAAAATCCAGGCACTGTGTCAGACAATGTGTGAAAAAAAATAATTCTATACTTCTAGTCTTAACTATCGTCCTGAGCTTCAATTGAGAATTTTCAAGCTATTTCATTTCTAATCCTCTATTATCCTCCTTCTAGGATCCTAATATTTGTAATGATAACACCCTTGACTTCTAACCACTTAGCTTTAACTCTTGAGTCATCTATAATTTGTGACCACCTTTCTTCTCCCGTAGTCACTCAATAGAAAAGCACCATCATGTTTCCCTTTTAAATAATTCTGCTCTAATTGCTAGAAGCATATTTCAGACTTTATTCCTACATGTCCTCATTGTATCTGCTCTTCTTTTCTTTTTCATCTCTTCCTTCTCTTCCTCCTTGTATTTGCTCTTACTTTCTTTGGTGCATTTTATGCATTAGAGTCAAGTGAATTTTCTTCAGGCACTCTTCAATCATGTCTCACACAGATTCAGTATTTTCACAATACTTAGTTTTTTGCATAATGTATTTTAATAGCTTCACGTGAACTCCTAAATTAAAAAAAATTTTTAGTCTGACATCCAATTTCCTTCCTGTTTTGGCTCCAATCCTATCTCACCAAGCTCACCAAGGGTAATTTAGTTACTCCCCTAAACAAACCTTTAGCTCCACCTGTATAATCAGCTTTCTAAATGCTAATCTTGCCACATTCTTGATTCTGGTCTAGCACTGTACTATTCCATCTTTTGGGAACATTTTCAAGTCTCTTTTTTTTAGCTACTTAAATTTTATTTACATTGCTGTGTTTATTTCAAGGTTTACAATAATTATATAGTTATTACATTATGTGGTTTTTAAGTTGGTGTAATAATTTCTAGATTCAGATTATTGGAGTTCGAACTCCTACCCCATTCAAGAGAATCTAAGTTAAGGAAATAATCTGCAGATATTAGTGGCCGTAAAAAATAAACATTTGTTATCTCATACTTTATGCCCATAGCAGATCGTCTAGAGGGTCTGATCTGTTTCTTTCATCTCAGTGACACTCAGAATAATAGAGTCTTCACCTCTGCAATGTGGCAGAGGAAAGCAAATATGGAGACTCAGAAATTGGTTTTTAATGTCTTCCATCCTTAGTATGACCACGCCCAGTTTCACAAAGTGCAGGGAAATAAATCCTGTCATTGGTTTGGTAGGAGAAAAACTGGAAATGTTGACAACAGCACCTGCTAGTGAGTATAATATTTCCTCAACTATGGTACTTCATCTTCACCATGGGAATCACGATATCTGTTTTGAAGGGTGTTTTTTTTTTAAGTTTAAAAGTGATTATACAATATACAAAGTGTTTAGTAAGAGTCTGGTACCATGTATGTCCTAAAGAAATGTTACCTATGTTTAGTCTGTGAAGGCTTATTGCAAAATTTAACATTTGGCTCTTTCAGTCTCGGCTTCCCTCAAAGAGAACAACTTGAAACAATGGCTTTTGTGAAGGTAGTTTATTTTGGGAAGTCATTCCAGGGAACAAGAGTGGGGAAAATGGGAAAAATGAAACTGGAGGGAACGCCAATCAAAACAAGGGTATGCTAAAAAACTTGTCACCATGGTGGTAATTGGGCTGAGTCCCACAGGGATCTTAAGAATTGTCCACGTGAGGGACAAAAGAGGGGAGTGTTTATCTACAGGCTTCCCTGCTCCATTGCTCAGGGATGCCCTACGGGGAGTCACGTTCTTTACACTTCCAGGCTCACGTATGTAAAGTGACCAGTGGGATCTCACGGACCTTACGTCAATGAAGCCCCAGAACAGAAAGCAAATGATGCAGAATGAGCAGAAGAACCAATGATTTGAGTAAACAGGGATCTAAGAAGATAGGGGATGGGGTATAATAAGTGTTTGACACAGTAGCCAACTTGATCTTGGTGATATCTTAAATGCACTTCATTTTTCAGATAATCATGCTAATCTTGCTCATTGAAATGGATGGTCATATTGCATAATAGTGTTTTATTAATCATAATGAAAAATAAAATTGTCATGCTGTAGCAGACATATTTTGCCTTTGTCTACATTTATTCCTTTCATCCTGGTTTTAGTTAAAGCACTTCAGTTCCACTTTAGAAAATTAAGCCTAATAGTTCTTTGGATGAGACAGAGACAAAGCCTTCATAATTAGACACATGACCTAAAATAGATGAAGGCATCTTCGATCCTAAGACTTTCTGAAGCTGTCAAAGGACATTATTGCCACAATAAAGAAAAGGCAGCCTGAGATGAGGCCAATATAGATAAAAGCAAAGCCCCGGGGTGGACAGATAAGTCTTGATAACTTCTTTCGAGTGATTGAACTCATCCAGATTTATAGATATTCTACTCATCTGGATGTTTTGGTTCCACGAATCCATTAACTCTCTTTTTCCCTAAGCCAATTTCAATTACATTTTAGTCATTTATAAGAGAAACAGTTGAGAATTTTTTTTGTCATGGTACATGGAAAACATAATTAAGTTTCTGTGTGATCCTGGAATCAGTTAACAGTTATGTATCACATGTTTAAAGGCAGCAGGCTTGAATGTTTTTATACACCTGTCTCCACAGGTTGTGTCCTTGATGTGACACCCTCTAATCTTGGCAATGCTCCTTTGGGCACTTCTAATTTCTATCCACTTGGGAATTCTTTGTATTATTCCAGGCTGAGTACCTCTTTTTCATTCCCCCTGCCCAGAGTCACTTTCAAAAAGAGAATGTTTAGGACTAACTACATTCATGCAAATCCTGACTCCCTGATGGTCTTGATTAGAGTTTGCAGAGATTAATTTATTTACTGTTTCATATGTCTAATCATATAAGTACTATGTGGATTGTTTTAAATTTAACAGTCTGAAGTTCATCTTATTTCCGTTATCTCAAATTTATATCTTCTTTGACTAGAGACAAAGTCCATAGATTTGCTGTCAGGCAAGTGTGGGTTAAAGCTTTAAAATTGCCACCAATCTCTAGAAGAATTTTTAAACATTGTAGTTCCCCCACCCATAATATGAGAATAATTATAATATCATAGAATACCTTTTTTGGCAGCATGAAGATAGAAACATATACTATACATCTAAAATGATTTTCAAAACCTTGAAATATAGTAAACAAAAGTATGCTGACTATTTTACAATTATTGTTATTATAGAAATTACCATATTATGTCCCTATATTACAAATTTCCTGTGGACTGAGTTTTTATTTTTTTTTTTTTTAATGTTTTAATTAAATAAATCTAATTTTTAAATTAAATTTTATTTTTTTATATTTATTTTTTATTTTTTAAATTTTTTAACATGTATGGTGTATATATATCTCATATATATAAATATGTGATATATTTTGGAATATATGTATGTGGGATATATTATGGGATATATTATGGGATATATATGTGGGATACGTGTGATATTTCGTTGCACACATAGAGTGTGTAATGATCAAGGGTATGTGGGGTTTTTATCATTTCTATATTTTGGGGTCATTACAAGTTCTCTCTTCTAGCTACTTTGAAATATATAATATCTTCTTGCTAACTATAATCATCCTACTCTGCTATCAAACACTAAAACTTATACCTATTATCAAACTGTATGTTTGTAACCATTGACCAGCCTCTTTACACAATATTTACCCCTCCAATATTCACATACTTCCCAATCTCTAATATCTTATCATTCAACTCTAACTCCACGAGATAAACATTTTAGCTCCTACATATGAGTGAGAACATGCAAAGTTTGTCTTTCTGTATCTGGCTTATTTGTCTTCACATTATGACCTCCAGTTCCATCAATGTTGCTATTAGAGGCAGAATTTCATTCTTTTCTATCTCCAAATAGTATTCTATTGTGTATATATACCACATTTTCTTTATCCATCTCTCCTTTGATGGCCACATAGGCTGATTCCAATCTTTGTTAGTGGGAATAGTGATGCAACAAATGCACAAGTATAGGCGAGTGCAGATATCCCTTTGGTATACTGATTTATTTTTCTGTGGATAAATATCAGTAGCGGATTGCTAGATTGTATAGTATTTCTACTTTTAGTTTTTTGGAAAAACCTCCATACTGCTTTCTATAGTGGCTGTACTAATTTACATTTCAACCAACAGTGCATAAGAGTTCCCTATTTTCTGAATCCCTGCTAGCATGCTGTCTCTTTCCACCTCCCCCAACCCCGCCGGTTTTTAATAGTAGCTGTTATAAGAGGGGTAAGATAATCTTTCATTTTGGATGTGATATGAATTTCCTTAATGATTAGTGATGTTGAGCATTTTTTAATAGATTTGTTGGCCATTTGTACGTCTTTTTTTTCTGAAAAAATATCTATCAATGTTCTTTGCCTACCTTTTAGTGAGATTATTAGGTTCTTTTACTTTTGAGTCATGTTGAATATCCTTGTCTGGAGTTCTTTGATATTCTGGATATTAGTCCCTTGCCGGATGAATAGTTTACAAATACTATTTTCCTATTCTATAGGTTGTCTCTTCACTCTATTGATTGCTTCCTTTACTATGAGCTTTTTAGTTTAACACAGACCCGTTTTTCCATTTTTGTGTTGATTGTCTATACTTTTGAAGTCTTAGCCATAAAACATTTTCCTAGACCAAGGTTTTCCCTTGTTTTTTTTTCCCCCTATGTTTTCTTTCGGTAACTTTATAGTTTCAAGTCATATGTTTATATATTTAATTCCTCTTGAGAAGATGTTTTTTAATTCAGTGATAGATAGGGGTCCAGTTTCATTCTTCTTCATGTGGATATCCAATTTACTTAGCTCAATTTATTGAAGAGATTGTCCCCTCAATGTATGTTTTTAGCATCTTTATTAAAAATTAGTTGGCTTTAAATATATGGATCAATTTTTGGATTGTCTATTCTGTTCCATTGGCCTCTGCATCTGTTTTTATCCCAATGCCATGCTGTTTTGCTTACTATAGACTTTTTATGTATTTTGAAATCAGGTAGTGTGATGCCTTCAGCTTTTGTTCTGTTTGCTCAAGATTGCTTTGGTTATTTGGGCTGTTTTTTGTTTCCATATACATTTCAGTATTTTTTTTTTCTATTTCTGTAAAAAATAACATTGGTGATTTGATAGGGATTGCAATAAATATGTAGATTGCTTAGAATAGTATGTTTTTTCTTTTTTTTTTCCACTTCTACCAATACAACCAAAGTATGGTCATTCTAACAATATTAATTCTTCCAGTCCATTAGCATGGGATGTCCTTTTGTTTCTTTGTGTCTTTTTCAATTTTTAAATTAGTGTTTTGTAGTTTCCTTTGTAAAGATCTTTCACTTCTTTAGTTAAATTTATTCATTTATTCCTAGATATGTTATTTTATTTTTTGTAACTATTGTAAATGGGATTTTCTTCATGATTTTCTTCTCAGCTAGTTCATTACTGATGTATAGAAAACTACCAGTTTTTATATGCTGATTTTGTATCTCACAGCTTTACTGTATTTATTTTTCAGATCTAAGAGTTCCTTTGGTGGAACTGTTAGGCTATTCTAGATATAAGATTATGTCATCAGTAAAGAGGGACAATCTGATGTCTCCCTTTTCCAATTTGGATGTCTTTTATTTATTTCTCTTGCCTGGCTACTTTGGCTAGGAGTCCCAATACCCTGTGGAGTAGGAGTGGTGTAAGTGGGCATCCTTGTCTTGTTCCAGTTCTTAGGGAAAAGGCTTTCCACTTTTACCCATTCAATGTGAGGTTAGCTGTGGGTTTATCATATATAGTGTTTATTATGTTGAGGTATGTTCCCTCTATGCCTAGTTTGCTGAGAGTTTTTATTATGAAAGGATGTTGAATCTCATTAAATGTTTTTTTTCTGCTCTATTAAGATGATCATATGATTTTGGTCCTTCATTCTGTTGATGTGTTGTATCACATTTATTGATTTCAACCATTTTTCCATCTCTGGGATAAATCCCACTTGATCATGGTGTATTGTTTTTTGATGTGATGTTGGATTTTGTTTGCTACTATTTGTTGAGAATTTTTGAATCTATCTCATTTTTGGTCTGTTCAGGATTTTTATTTCTTCCTGACGTAATCATCCTAATTCATTTTACCCATTTTCTCTAGTTTTTCCAGTTTATGCATATATAGTTCTTAATAGCATTTGACTATATTTTGTGTTGTAGAGGTTTAAGTTTTAATGTCTCATTTTCATTTTTGATATTGTTTATTTGGATATTCTCTCTCTGTCTCTCTCTCTCTCATTTGTCCAGAAAGCAGCTTATCAATTTTATTTATTCAGAAAAACATCTCTTCATTATGTGTTTTACCTATGTAACAAAGTTGCATGTGTACCCTTTAATCTATAACAAAAGTTGAAATTTAAAAAGCAAAATAAAATCTTTTCATTTTGTTGATTCTTTGTATTATTTTGTCTCAATTTCATTTGGTTCTACTCCAATTTTTTTTATTCTAATAATTTTAGGTTTAGTTGGTTTTTCCTTTTCTATTTCCTTGAGGTTCATAATTACATTGCTGACTTGAAATCTTTCTTCTTCTTTGATGTAGTCATTTATGGCTATAAACTACCTTTTTAATACTGCTTTGGCTGCTTTGCATAGGTTTTAGTATGTTGTATTTCAATTTTCATTTAAGTTTTTTTTATTTCTTTCTTAATTTCTTTCTTGACACAGTGGTTGTTAAGGGGCATGTTATTTAATTTCTATGTATTTATAAAGTTTTCAAAGGTCCCCTTGTTATTGATTTATAGTTTTATTGCATTGTGGTCTAAGAAGACATTTGATACAATTTTGATTTTTAAAAGAATATGTTGAGAATTGTTTTGTGTCCTAATATATGGTCTGTCCTGGAGAATGTTCCATTTGCTGATGAGAAGAATGTCTATTCGGTAGCTGTGGGATGAAATCTTATACAAATGTTTGTTAGGTCTAATGTGCAGTTTATATCCAATGTTTCTTTGTACATTTTCTGTCTAGATGATCTGTCTAATGCTGACAGTGGGGTGTTAAAGACACCAAGTATTATGGTATTGAAATCTATCTCACCGTTTATATCTATAGGGTGGGAATATGGGCTTCTGGGGATCACTCACATACTTGTTTCCCAATTTAGGAAGATGCTCAGACTCCCAGCTGATCCTGGCCAAACAGGCTGCTTTGTTTTCCTCTCCTCCCTGGCTTTTGTTGCTTCTGGTCACTTCTCTGTTGAGTTCCAGTGTTCTCTCTGATATGATCTATTCTAAGTATGGTTATATACTTGCTATTTTGTTCCCTTTTTGTGGAAGAGGGTATTACTAGCTCCATCTATTTAACCATCTTGACTTCCTTTCACGTATTTACTTTTGAGGAGCTGAATATTAAAATACTTAATAAAGATTATTTTTATCAACACCTTACAAGTATTTAAAATTATGCCAGTTTATGAATCATTAACATTTTCTGAATTAACTAAACATAAGCATCATAAGCAGGTGTTAGTAAATTCACACCTGAAGTGAATATTTAAGTCTCACATTGGAGAAAACATTTCTGAAAATTGAAAAAAATCAATGAATTGAGATGTATTAACATAAATATATTATTTAGTGAAAATTTGCGTTGACTCATGAAAATGTGAAGAAACATCACAGTTACAATAACTACAAATTAACAGTTACTGTTAATAGCTGGGGCTAAAGTGAGATGTTTAAAGTACCATAGAAAGAGATTTCCTAGGGAATTGAGAAGTGACACTCCACAGAAAGTAATGCATGACTTACTTACTACTCAATATAAAGTTGTGGTGAGGTAAAGAAGTCAGCACCTGAGGAGAAAAAAATTATGGCCTCTTACCAAGATAATAACATGAGAATTAAATTCCAAAAAGAGTCAAATTGGCTTAGCTTTAGAGGCATGACAAACCCTCTGCCAAGACTGAATCTAACTGGGATGAATAAGTTTGGAGAATGGATGGATAATAGATAATGGATAGATCTAAAAAAAAAAAACAAAAAGATGCTGACTACAATCATAAATATGATAACCCATTAAGCCATTAACTCTGAGAACTAAAAAAAATAGATGGTTGACCCTTGTGCTCCCTTTTAAATTATTTATGTGAGAAATAGTTATCTTTCAAGTGGTTTATATCACTTATTTAGATACATATATATATGTATATTTAGGAAAAAATATTTGGAGAACAATACTAATGTTTTCTTTTAAAAATAAAACATTTCTTTTCAAAAAAAATTTATAGCTTTTAATTAAAAAAGCAGCAAGCTTCACCTCTTCTGAGTTTTAATTTTTTTGTCTGTTGAATGGTAGATTGATCTCGATAATCTTTAACTCCTACATTCTGTAGGTCTGTGAAGATAATGACTCAACACGAGTATGTATTTCAAAGATGCTTATAAACTAAATCTCACTCTTTGATACTTTGGCTTGTGATCCAGAGAGATGAGACTTAGGTAAATAGGGTATGATGTGAAATGTACTCCTGAGAATTAGGAGTAGATCCCTGAATTCTACACTGGGTCCTTATTATGGCCAGTAACCTGCCACAGTTCAACAAAGCAAAAAAATGTGAACTTTCTGAAGCCTTGAGGGAGTTCTCAAAGGACTTTGAAAGAGCAGTTAGATATCTTGATATTAGTGAATATAAACACAATTATTGATATTATCTGATTATTGTTGCTGTTTTCCATCTTGCTAGAGATCCCTATGAAACAAAAACATAAATCTGATGTATATATACAAAATTAAAATGCAGACATTAACAACAGGGATAGCATTTACTGTATTTCCCAGCAGTAAGCATTTTTTTTGGTAAAAATATTCCCTCATGCATGTTTGCAAAATATCAAGTCTTATAAGTGAAGATATAATAGATTATGGATTAGAATATGTATTTTAGTAGAACATATTATTGATTCTCATTATTCACCTTTGTAAGAAAGCTAACATTTCCAGCTAAACTACAAGACAAAGAAACTAATTAACAAAAATAGAAACACACTTAAGCTCTTAAGTAATATTTTATTGACAATATTTGGTGGTATTTGAGTATTGTCTAAAGGAGTATAATAATTTCTTTACCTGTGTAGTGTGAAGGTAACAGTCTTTCAGAACTATACTACAGACTACAGAGAATAAACAAGTAAAGGCAGAGGAAGAGAAAAAGTGAGAGATTGAATAGAAATAATTAAAAATAAAAGGGACATATAATTTAAAAGTTGATGATGAAGTCTGTTTAGCTCTATTCTCCCCATTCAATTCAAAACAAAGGAATACATTGTAAAATTAGCTATTTTCAGAATTTGACAAAAGGATGTAAAATTTGTTAAATCAAATAAGTGATGATTAAATGCTATCACATCATCATAGATATGTTTTACTTAATCATAGTCATTATTCATTTATGACTGAGTATTAAATGCTGTTAATTAATTCCTTAAATTTGCATTCTACTAATTATGCTTATATTTTGTTTTGTTTAATATTTATTCTTATTAAACATGTACCATTACCACCTGTCATAACTTTGAGAAAGTAAAGAATTGATTCATTGCATTACTTTTATTTTGTTTTATTTTATTTTTTGAGACAGGGTGTGGCTCTGCCCCCAGGCTGGAGTGCAGGGGTATAATCTCATCTTACTGCAACATCTGCCTCCTGGGCTCAAGTGATCCTCCCACCTTGGCCTCCCAAGTAGCTGAGACTACAGGTGCACACCAACTTGCTGGGCTAATTTTTAAATATCTATATAATTTTAGAGATTAGGTCCCATTATATTGCCCATTATATTGCCCAGACTAGTCTCAAACTCCTGGGCAACATACTTAGTCACCTTCAATCTTGGGCCTTAAAGTTAATTTTTATTTTCTTTCTATTTTTGTGAGATGGGGTCTCACTATATTGCCCAGGCTGGTCTCAAACTCCTGGGCTCAAGGGATCCTCCTACCTCAGCCTCTCAAAGTACTGAAATTACAGGTGTAAGCCATCATGCCTAGTTTAATTTCCATTTCCCTCATAAAATAATTAACATTGTAATTAATATTATGATAGTGTAGCTTTTTCTCTTTTTTTAGGATGGAGCTACCACTTTTGGAATCACTTGGTTAAGAATACAAATATTTTAATGTCTGTTTCATATTAGCAAATTGCTTTTTACAAGGGCTGTCTAATTAGACTCTCACCAACAGTATGGAATTTTGTTTCCTTTGGCAATTTCATTAATGAAAAATTGTTACCTCATGGTTGTTTAATTATTATTGTCTTAATTAACATATTTCTAAGGAACCATTTGCTCCTTATAGGTTTTAATTTGATACTGAGTATTTTCTCTGTTTTGTGAATCATTGCTTTATGATATTTCTCTGTATATCTAAGGAGTACTTTGGATGACTTGGGGACATTTAGAGATCCATGAGGCAAAACAGTTATCTCAAATTCTTATTTGATTATCTCAATGAAAAAAAGTCTCTATAAAAATTCATATAGATATAGCTCTTTGTAAATATGCATTGCAGGAGATAATTCCACTTCACTTCTAATCTAATAATTTATAAGTATACACAGAAATGTTGATCATATATGTGAGTATAGTTCTTTATGTTTGGGTTCATATTTTAATTTCTTTTGAATAAAGAAAGCTTCACACAACAGGACTATGAGACAGGCAGGACAGTGGGCATATGTTGTCATATTTACCTTTGAAGAAGACAGATTTTTTAAGTGGAAGCTTGTCAGTCAGTGATAAAGTTTATCATTTCAATAGGTGCTGTTGATTCTTTAAGAATGAGGACAAGGGGTCACTCTCCCCATTTAAGAGACACAAAACTATGCTGTTGCTCCGCAGTGCTGTTGTGTTGTGGCATAGTTCAGAAAAGGATGTGTTAGTAGCAAAATATTTGAAAGGAAAATGAAACATTTAGTCATCACTCAAAGTTGTTATTTTATCAGCGTAACAAGCAAGAACTTGTTTTACTAATGTGTTTTTAGCAGTGTCGCAGGGCTCGACTGGCATGCCATTCTGTACCCAAAACGTGCAGGAGGATTTTACATTTTCAAGGGTAAAGCATAAATAAAGATTTCGTTGTAAAATAATGTCTGGTATGCAGGGTGTTGCCCCCAAGCCAATCCCATCTCCTGAAAGTTTTAATTCATTCCTCCTACCCCCTTATGCATAGAGAGGAAAATCTATTTATGTATTCTTATTCATGGATCAACTTGCTTCATTTAGCATAATGACATTATTTAATTTTACCTCTGCTCAGTATTGTACTGGCAACCTTACCCATCCAAAACACACTGTCAAAAAATATTTTCAACAAAATTTTTTCTCCTTGTGTTATGAAATCTGATGACAAAAATTCCTAAAATAGACATATAAGTTTCTTTGGGAATTTTCATGCTAGAAATCACAGTTTAATATACTTGCATACTAGCATTCTAAAACTATGTGATTTAAGATTCTTTCTAAACAAATTCTGATGAATGTAGAACTTAACAACAATAACAACACAAAATACCACAGAAACAATCCTAACCAGATTTTCTAAAGTCTCATTAGAAAATGCCTTATAAAAAGTCTTCATTGAAATTTAATGAGCCTACATAAATTCTTATCTAATGTTGTAATTCATAGTTGCTATATGAAGAATTTTAAATATTTTCATTGAATTCCTTGAAAACATTTTATTTGTTATATTTAAGCAATGAATAAGCTACATACACACTTTGAATAGCTTTTCTAGAAGAGAAGACATCTAGGTAATCAAATAGTTTCATATATATTTCAATAGGTAGTGAGATACACAGGGTATTGTAGAAGAACATAGAAGTCTTTCAGGAAAATGAAATGCTTTAATAAGGAGTAAGGCAGGCCAAGAATGGGAGTAGTGGGGAAGCCTGCTGGGAACTATAAGAAGTTCCAGGAAGACGTAGAACAAAAGAGACAGTAACATGGACATAATGATGGGTAATTAGGGGTAGTTCAGTAATGTTGAAATGTAAAAATTGGCCAGAGATACTGGGAGTAGATGAAGCTGAATTGGGGGCTAAATCAGAGAGGATCATAAATGTCATATGTCATTTGACCAAGAACTTGTTATAGTTGTGAGGCAGATGATTAACATGGTCATATTTACATTTTAGATATGATATTCTGGAATAATGTGAAAAATTAATTTGGGGAGGTGATTGGAGGACAAATAATAGAGTCCAGAAACTAGAGACATGAAATAATCTACAGGAGAAAGATTAGGGGCCTGAAATAAACAAGTGGTGTTGGAAATGAAGCATGAGGGCACACACAGACCTATAAAATATCTGTAAGGTAAGAACTACAGAACTCAGTAACCAATCATGTGGCTACAGATGGAAGAGTTGGAGGAATCCAATGTAATTGCCAAGTTCTTTTGGAAGAAAGTGGGATGGTGCAAGCATCATCTGAATAGGGGAAACACAACTGGGAGTGATATACTGCATGTGCGATGTCATGGGAAACCACAACATTAGGCAATGAATGGGATGTGAGTATGGATCCCATGGTTCCTCAGTATTAATAGCTGCTTCATTTTTTATTCATACATAATTATAAACCTTTTTCTGAGCTGGACTTCTACACCACTTCCTGGCTGCCCTTACTCATGGTTTTGCAGTTACACTGTAAAGTCTGTGAGGATAGAAAGTGTCTCATTCACGTTTATTTTGACAATTAGCACAATTTTATGTTATTTCTGGCACTTAAACATATATTGAATCACTCTTTTCATTTGCTAGACATTGAGGTTACAAAGATGAAAAACAAGCAGGGTCTCTGCCCCTGAATGGCATACAACATCACTGTACAAACAGGCAAACATATAATTACTACTCTTGACACCTGTAATATTGGAAGGACCACAAGAGCAAGGAATAAGTAGCCATTGAATGGATCATGCAGAGTAGGACTGAGTGAGTGTTCTTAGGCTGACTTTACTATGCAAGACCCCATCAGACTGCTACCTCGAGATGTCCCTTTCTTTTCTTTCTTATTTTTCTTCTCCTTCTTTTTTTTTTTCTTTTTTTTTTGGCTAATCCATTAATCTGATCAAGATGCCACTTTCATTGCAAAAGGTAAATCCTGAGTGAGTAAGCTGCCTCATTCCTCCATACTATACAACAGCTCAAAAAAGTTTGAAGCTTTTTGCTCCATATAAGAGTTACAGCTGACACTATGGCTCAGTTATGCAATACCATATGAGAACCCAAATTTCTTTAAATTTTGTCCTCTCATGCCTTAGGTTTTGCCCTACTTGGCATGGTCAAAGCTTAATCGCTAGCACCTTGTCCCCATACTAGTCCATAGTGAAGGAGAAACTTAGTACATAGAGGGCAGAGAGTTTTCTTTTTATAAGACATTACTTTGAAATTGTCCACATAAATTCTACTCATTGTACCTTGCACAAATCATTCTCAAGATCAAAGGATGACATAAAGGATGCTGAAGAGCATAGGTTTTTAGCTTTGCTTCCATGTGTTCTGAAGAAAAGTGGAGGGCTTATTATCAAAAGAAATAAGGGGACAATAAGTAACCGTGTGTTACATTAGTTTCTATGCCATAAACACTTAATCATTATATCTAATAAAACCATTATTATCAGAAATTATATCACATCTATGATCTCCAATTGTTCATCTTATTATTTGACCCAGTAATTTTATTTTGCAGTTCACATATTCTTGCACTCCGGAGTACCATAGTTGTTCAGATATTCACGATCTTGAGCTCACAATTTTTTTCACTATTCATCAACTTCCTCTCTTTTTCTTGACCAGCTTAAAATTCCATGATCTGTTAATATAATCACAACATTGAAAATAGCCTTAATGCCCTTGTCTCCTTTTATGTAACAGAAACCCAATTGAGCCTGAACCCAATTATCCATCTCTTCTGGGCTTACATCTTAGACTTTAAATAATTCTTGTAAGAAGCTGATATAATTGACTTTACTTTAAATTCATGATCATAAATTTTATTCATGAAATTCGGAGGTCATTGCCAGGGCCTATGGTCAACAATACCAGACAGAGGTCCTACTGTATCTTTTTAGTAAGCTTTTACATTCCCACCCTCTAAGGTAAATAGATTATATTTTCTTTCTTCTCCTCATACCTCTTCTACACTCAAGATCGACACCTTAAACAATTTCAAGAGCTTCTTTAATAATCAAAATGATGTCTCTGAACCTTGAACACTCCCTTTTCTCACTCAACCTTGTGGCTAATGGCTTTATACTTCAAACATGAATTCCTTCATCTTTTTAAAACCAAACCTGTAAGTCAACATGCAGCTACCTGTTTCCCAAGTGGGAAATACCCCACCATCCAACAAAGGAAAGTGCAGGCCATGTGTTTTTACTAACATTTCCCAGAATCTTCACATTTATCCTTTCTAATGAGGCAATACCATTAGCATACACCATAAATTCTATTATGTCAGAATACACCTTCTATAAATATTTCTTTCTATCTGTATCATCCTCCAGATAGTGCTGATTTTTATCTCCTTCTCAAAAAGAAATTCTCTTAAAAGTGCCTCATACATCTTGACTCCTTTTAACAAATTCTCATTTATTCTTTAACACATTTTAAAACTTCTCCTTTGTTCTTCAACACAACCAAGTCTACTTTCAGTTTATATAACTTCACTGGGATGACAGCCTCTGATGATGTCCTTATTCACAAATTCAAATGACATTATTTGGTCATCATCCTCTTTGACGTTGTGAATACATAACAGAGTTTGACATTCTGTTCTTTCTTGAGATTATCTTCTCTCTTATAGTTTACTCTTTTGATTTGCCTCCAAATTATACATATTAAATCTCCTTGAAATATGGTCTTGACCTCCTGTCATATTTATTTGCATTCTCTAACTGGGAGAGATTCCCACATCTTTAAATAAAGCTACATGCTGCTATCTTGCAATTTTCCTTCTCTGACAAAGACCTCATTTGAGAAACCCAAATTTATAGAATTAACTGCTGTTTGGATACTTTGAGTAGAATACCTTAAGGGAAATTAAAAGTTAAATTATCCAAAACAAAACTCTTGATTAAAGCTCAACCTGATTTTCCCCCATTATTCCTCATTTAAAAAATAATGTATGATCGGCTGGGTGCAGTGGCTCATGCCTGTAATCCCAGCACTTTCAGAGGCCGAGAGGGGCGGATCACGAGGTCAGGAGATCGAGACCATCCTGGCTAACACGGTGAAACCTTGTCTCTACTAAAAATACCAAAAATTAGCCGGGCGTGGCGGCAGGTGCTTGTAGTCCCAGCTCCTCGGGAGGTTGAGGCAGGAGAATGGCGTGAACCCGGGAGGCGGAGCTTGCAGTGAGACGAGATGGCGCCACTGCACCCCAGCCTGGGCGAAAAAGTGAGACTCCGTCTCAAAATAATAATAGTAATAATAATAATAACTATAATAATAATAATAATAATGTATAGTTTACCCACTTACCATACCCATAAAACTGAGAGTTATTTTTGATATAATTCGCCTTTTGACACCGCATACCTTCTGTATTATCTTTCAGATTTATGGCACCATGAGGATTTTTAATATCTACCTTTGTAATATATTTCATATCTATGCATTTCTATCTTGGCTGCCACTAGCTTGGCTCCAGTCATTTCCATCTCTTTCTTAAGCTACTTTTAATCACTTACAAACTGATTTCCTCATTTCTTTTTTTTCACCTTCCATTCATTCTCTATAAATCAGTTTGAATATCCACTAACATATAAATCAGATCATCTTGTCCCTAAAGGTCTCCAAAGGCTTTCATTTGCAGTTGGAGCAAAATGTAAATCCCTTATGATGTTCCACAGGATTTTGCATAATCTGTCTTTTGTTTTCTTTTATAATCTTATCCCATACCACTCCCCCTCCATAGCTATACCCAATCACAGCCTGTCTTCAATTCTAGCACAAGTTTGACCCCCTCATGCATCAAGGGCCTATGTATTGGGGTTGTCTATATATTTCTGTCTGCCTATATGGTTTGGCCCTCAATTCTTCGGGGCTATTTTTTTATTATTTAGTTGTAAGCTCAATTAACAGTAAACTTTTTCCCAAACATTCTATCAAATATAGTCTCTCAGATGCTCACAGATATTCTCTATCATAGGATTTAGTGACTTTCTAGTATTATATGAAACTATATAATTATATGATTATTTTTACTGTTATTTATTTTTGTTTCCCACACTAGAATGTAAGCACCATTATTTTAATGTTGTTGCTGTTGGTTTTTTTTAAATCTTGTGCTGTCTTGTTCCATCTTGATAGCCCCAGGATAAGGACAGTGATTGGCACAGAGCAAGTTTTCAGTAAGTACTTGTTGACTAATTGAATGAATGTATATTTGATAAATAAGAGTACACTAAGTGGATAAAGGGAATGAAGTTTGCATTTTAAAATTAAACATCAAATATAAACTCATGAACATGGAATATCCTAAAACCTCAGGCAATTTAATATGTCTATAGGTAAGGGTTGGATATAAACAATGAAGGGCAAAACAGTCAAATTATTAAGAACATTGTACATTATGCTGATTTTTTGCTATTTTCATTAAGTTAGTGGCAATATTGGCTTTGATTTTTAGCTAGCTAACTATAAGAGCAATGCCAAAGATAGAAGGGGAAAATACATGCAGAAAGAAAGAATATTTAGAGTAATGAAATTATGTCCCTTATATGAGAAAAAATGAGAAAATAAACTGCAGGAGGAAAAGTTAGTCTACAGAGAATGGGAACTGCTAGATAAGTAGAAGAGACAGGATTTGGTGACAATTTGATAACGGAAGGGAGAGCACAGAAGCACCAAATATAATTCCCAGGTGTCTAATACCGATGACTGGCTTTTTACAATCCTCGGTTAAAGAAAGTAAATAAAAATAAAATGTGAACTGACCTTCCTTTAAGCTTCATATTGTTATGTCCTGGGTCTCATTTTGTGAGCAGTATTTAAAGAAGCAAGAAGAGTAGGGATGGTTTTGGGTAAAATTTGAAACTGAATTCCTTTACTTTGCTTCTCTTATATTACATTTTTTCTTAATTATTTTCAAAATATCAATTCTATCAATACTTAAATGCATTTTACTAAGTGAGATAAGCCAATCTAAACAGGCAATATTAATGCTATATGATTCCAACTATATGACATTCTAGAAAAAATAAAATTATGGAGACAGTAAAAAATCAGTATTTCTTAGGAATTAGCAAGTAGGGAGGGATGAGTAGGTGGAGCATAGAAGGTTTTCAGGACAGTGAAACTATTTTTTATGATACTATTTTAGCAAATAATTTCATTATCCATTTGTTAAATCCATAGATTGTACAACACCAAGAGTGAACCTGGGTCTACACTATGAACGTTGGTTGATCATGGTGTCAGTGTAGACTTATTGGTGTAACAAACGCACCAGTGTGGAGCTAAATGTTGATTGTGGGAGAATCTGTGGGGACAGTGTGTATATGTACTTCCTGCTCAATTTTGCTGTAAAAGTAGAACTGCTTTAAAAATAAAATTTGTTCTTTTTTAAAAAAATGATGCTTTGCTATTCTAGATCTTAAGCTAGATGATATATTTCTTAAAGCTACTGATATTGTATTAAAAGAGGTTGCTGAGATACTCAGTAGTGTATACCTGAAATCTGTTTTTATTGGCTACTTCTTGGTTTCTTTCATCTTAGGTGAAGATGACAACACAATGCAGAAGGAGAAACATGACATCATAAATTTTGACACCAAATTTTGATTTAAAATTGTAGTAATAGCCACAACAAATACTGCATAAACCTCAGATGTAGCAAATAAAAATGAGGTCCTTTCCTACCCTATGCTTGAAATATAGGAGCTTACTACATCTCTGAGTTCACATAGGCATCTCGGTCACGTATAAAAAACAGGCGCATGTGGCATGACTAAGTTATTAAATTATGAGTTAATAATTCTCTGAAATTATTTTTGCCTCTAGCTTTATACTAAATAATAAACATTATGTAAAAATTAGCATAACTCTAAGAGACAGTTAACCAAGTTCACTAAGCTTTCAGTTAAATTAATCAATTCTTTATATAATCCCCTGGAAAATTTAATTTTTTTTATTTTTATTTATTTTTTATTATATTTTAAGTTTTAGGGTACATGTGCACATTGTGCAGGTTAGTTACATACGTATACATGTGCCATGTTGGTGCGCTGCACCCACTAACTCGTCATCTAGCATTAGGTGTATCTCCCAATGCTATCCCTCCCCCCTGCCCCCACTCCACAACAGTCCCCAGAGTGTGATATTCCCCTTCCTGTGTCCATGTGATCTCATTGTTCAATTCCCACCTATGAGTGAGAATACGCGGTGTTTGGTTTTTTGTTCTTGCAATAGTTTACTGACAATAATGATTTCCAATTTCATCCATGTCCCTACAAAGGACATGAACTCATCATTTTTTATGGCTGCATAGTATTCCAGGGTGTATATGTGCCACATTTTCTTAATCCAGTCTATCATTGTTGGACATTTGGGTTGGTTCCAAGTCTTTGCTGTAGTGAATAATGCCGCAATAAACATACGTGTGCATGTGTCTTTATAGCAGCATGATTTATAGTCCTTTGGGTATATACCCAGTAATGGGATGGCTGGGTCAAATGGTATTTCTAGTTCTAGATCCCTGAGGAATCGCCACACTGACTTCCACAATGGTTGAACTAGTTTACAGTCCCACCAACAGTGTAAAAGTGTTCCTATTTCTCCACATCCTCACCAGCACCTTTTGTTTCCTGACTTTTTAATGATTGCCATTCTAACTAGTGTGAGATGATATCTCATTGTGGTTTTGATTTGCATTTCTCTGATGGCCAGTGATGATGAGCATTTTTTCATGTGTTTTTTGGCTCCATAAATGTCTTCTTTTGAGAAGTGTCTGTTCATGTCCTTTGCCCACTTTTTGATGGGGTTGTTTGTTTTTTTCTTGTAAATTTCTTTGAGTTCATTGTAGATTCTGGATATTAGCCCTTTGTCAGATGAGTAAGTTGCGAAAATTTTCTCCCATTTTGTAGGTTGCCTGTTCACTCTGATGGTAGTTTCTTTGGCTGTGCAGAAGCTCTTTAGTTTAATTAGATCCCATTTGTCAATTTTGGCTTTTGTTGCCATTGCTTTTGGTGTTTTAGACATGAAGTCCTTGCCCATGCCTATGTCCTGAATGGTAATGCCTAGGTTTTCTTCTAGGGTTTTTATGGTTTTAGGTCTAACGTTTAAGTCTTTAATCCATCTTGAATTGATTTTTGTATAAGGTGTAAGGAAGGGATCCAGTTTCAGCTTTCTAAATATGGCTAGCCAGTTTTCCCAGCACCATTTATTAAATAGGGAATCCTTTCCCCATTGCTTGTTTTTCTCAGGTTTGTCAAATATCAGATAGCTGTAGATATGTGGCATTATTTCTGAGGGCTCTGTTCTGTTCCATTGATCTATATCTCTGTTTTGGTACCAGTACCATGCTGTTTTGGTTACTGTAGCCTTGTAGTATAGTTTGAAGTCAGGTAGTGTGATGCCTTCAGCTTTGTTCTTTTGGCTTAGGATTGACTTGGTGATGCAGGCTCTTTTTTGGTTCCATATGAACTTTAAAGTAGTTTTTTCCAATTCTGTGAAGAAAGGCATTGGTAGCTGATGGGGATGGCATTGAATCTGTAAATTACCTTGGGCAGTATGGCCATTTTCACGATATTGATTCTTCCTACCCATGAGCATGGAATGTTCTTCCATTTGTTTGTATCCTCTTTTATTTCCTTGAGCAGTGGTTTGTAGTTCTCCTTGAAGAGGTCCTTCACATCCCTTGTAAGTTGGATTCCTAGGTATTTTATTCTCTTTGAAGCAATTGTGAATGGGAGTTCACTCATGATTTGGCTCTCTGTTTGTCTGTTGTTGGTGTATAAGAATGCTTGTGATTTTTGTACATTGATTTTGTATCCTGAGACTTTGCTGAAGTTGCTTATCAGCTTAAGGAGATTTTGGGCTGAGACAATGGGGTTTTCTAGATATACAATCATGTCATCGGCAAACAGAGACAATTTGATTTCCTCTTTTCCTAATTGAATACCCTTTATTTCCTTCTCCTGCCTAATTGCCCTGGCCAGAACTTCAAACACTATATTGAATAAGAGTGGTGAGAGAGGGCATCCCTGTCTTGTGCCAGTTTTCAAAGGGAATGCTTCCAGTTTTTGCCCATTCAGTATGATATTGGCTGTGGGTTTGTCATAGATAGCTCTTATTATTTTGAAATATGTCCCATCAATACCTAATTTATTGAGAGTTTTTAGCATGAAGGGTTGTTGAATTTTGTCAAAGGCTTTTTCTGCATCTATTGAGATAATCATGTGGTTTCTGTCTTTGGCTCTCTTTATATGCTGGATTACATTTATTGATTTGCGTATATTGCATCAGCCTTGCATCCCAGGGATGAAGCCCACTTATCATGGTGGATAGGCTTTTTGATGTGCTGCTGGATTCAGTTTGCCAGTATTTTATTGAGGATTTTTGCATCAATGTTCATCAAGGATATTGGTCTAAAATTCTCTTTTTTGGTTGTGTCTCTGCCCAGCTTTGGTATCAGAATGATGCTGGCCTCATAAAATGAGTTAGGGAGGATTCCCTCTTTTTCTATTGATTGGAATAGTTTCAGAAGGAATGGTACCAGTTCCTCCTTGAACCTCTGGTAGAATTCGGCTGTGAATCCATCTGGTCCTGGATTCTTTTTGGTTGGTAAGCTATTGATTATTGCCACAATTTCAGATCCTGTTATTGGTCTATTCAGAGATTCAACTTCTTCCTGGTTTAGTCTTGGGAGGGTGTATGTGTCAAGGAATTTATCCATTTCTTCTAGATTTTCTAGTTTATTTGCGTAGAGGTGTTTGTAATATTCTCTGATGGCAGTTTGTATTTCTGTGGGATCGGTGGTGATATCCCCTTTATCATTTTTTATTGCGTCTATTAGATTCTTCTCTCTTTTTTTCTTTATTAGTCTTGCTAGCAGTCTATCAATTTTGTTGATCCTTTCAAAAAACAAGCTCCTGGATTCATTAATTTTTTGAAGGGTTTTTTGTGTCTCTATTTCCTTCAGTTCTGCTCTGATTTTAGTTATTTGTTGACTTCTGCTAGCTTTTGAATGTGTTTGCTCTTGCTTTTCTAGTTCTTTTAATTGTGATGTTAGGGTGTCAATTTTGGATCTTTCCTGCTTTCTCTTGTGGGCGTTTAGTGCTATAAATTTCCCTCTACACACTGCTTTGAATGCATCCCAGAGATTCTGGTATGTTGTGTCTTTGTTCTCATTGGTTTCAAAGAACATCTTTATCTCTGCCTTCATTTCGTTATGTACCCAGTAGTCATTCAGGAGCAGTTTGTTCAGTTTCCATGAAGTTGAGCAGTGTTGAGTGAGATTCTTAATCCTGAGTTCTAGTTTGATTGCACTGTGGTCTGAGAGATAGTTTGTTATAATCTCTGTTCTTTCACATTTGCTGAGGAGAGCTTTACTTCCAAGTATGTGGTCAATTTTGGAATAGGTGTGGTGTGGTGCTGAAAAAAATGTATATTCTGTTGATTTGGGGTGGAGAATTCTGTAGATGTCTATTAGGTCCACTTGGTGCAGAGCTGAGTTCAATTCCTGGGTATCCTTGTTGACTTTCTGTCTTGTTGATCTGTCTAATGTTGACAGTGGGGTGTTAAAGTCTCCCATTATTAATGTGTGGGAGTCTAAGTCTCTTTGTAGGTCACTCAGGACTTGCTTTAGGAATCTGAGTGCTCCTGTATTGGGTGCATATATATTTAGGATAGTTAGCTCTTCTTGTTGAATTGATCCCTTTACCATTATGTAATGGCCTTCTTTGTCTCTTTTGATCTTTGTAGGTTTAAAGTCTGTTTTATCAGAGACTAGGATTGCAACCCCTGCCTTTTTTTGTTTTCCATTTGCTTGGTAGATCTTCCTCCATCCTTTTATTTTGAGCCTATGTGTGTCTCTGCACGTGAGATGGGTTTCCTGAATACAGCACACTGATGGGTCTTGACTATCCAATTTGCCAGTCTGTGTCTTTTAATTGGAGCATTTAGTCCATTTACATTTAAAGTTAATATTGTTATGTGTGAATTTGATCCTGTCATTATGCTGTCAGCTGGTTATTTTTCTCGTTAGTTGATGCAGTTTCTTCCTAGTCTCGATGGTCTTTACACTTTGGCATGATTTTGCAGCGGCTGGTACCCGTTGTTCCTTTCCATGTTTAGCGCTTCCTTCAGGAGCTCTTTTAGGGCAGGCCTGGTGGTGACAAAATCTCTCAGCATTTGCTTGTCTGTAAAGTATTTTATTTCTCCTTCACTTATGAAGCTTAGTTTGGCTGGATATGAAATTCTGGGTTGAAAATTCTTTTCCTTAAGAATGTTGAATATTGGCCCCCACTCTCTCCTGGCTTGTAGGGTTTCTGCCGAGAGATCAGCTGTTAGTCTGATGGGCTTCCCTTTGAGGGTAACCCGACCTTCCTCTCTGGCTGCCCTTAACATTTTTTCCTTCATTTCAACTTTGGTGAATCTGACAATTATGTGTCTTGGAGTTGCTCTTCTCGAGGAGTATCTTTGTGGCATTCTCTGTATTTCCTGAATCTGAACGTTGGCCTGCCTTGCTAGATTGGGGAGGTTCTCCTGGATAATATCCTGCAGAGTGTTTTCCAACTTGGTTCCATTCTCCCCATCACTTTCAGGTACACCAATCAGACACAGATTTGGTCTTTTCACATAGTCCCATATTTCTTGGAGGCTTTGCTCATTTCTTTTTATTCTTTTTTCTCTAAACTTACCATCTCGCTTCATTTCATTCATTTCATCTTCCATTGCTGATACCCTTTCTTCCAGTTGATCGCATTGGCTCCTGAGGCTTCTGCATTCTTCACGTAGTTCTCGAGCCTTGGTTTTCAGCTCCATCAGCTCCTTTAAGCACTTCTCTGTATTGGTTATTCTAGTTATACATTCTTCTAAATTTTTTTCAAAGTTTTCAACTTCTTTGCCTTTGGTTTGAATGTCCTCCCGTAGCTCAGAGTAATTTGATCGTCTGAAGCCTTCTTCTCTCAGCTCGTCAAAGTCATTCTCCATCCAGCTTTGTTCCGTTGCTGGTGAGGAACTGTGTTCCTTTGGAGGAGGAGAGGCGCTCTGCTTTTTAGAGTTTCCAGTTTTTCTGTTCTGTTTTTTCCCCATCTTTGTGGTTTTATCTACTTTTGGTCTTTGATGATGGTGATGTACAGATGGGTTTTTGGTGTGGATGTCCTTTCTGTTTGTTAGTTTTCCTTCTAACAGACAGGACCCTCAGCTGCAGGTCTGCTGGAATACCCTGCCGTGTGAGATGTCAGTGTGCCCCTGCTGGGGGGTGCCTCCCAGTTAGGCTGCTCGGGGGTCAGGGGTCAGGGACCCACTTGAGGAGGCAGTCTGCCCATTCTCAGATCTCCAGCTGCGTGCTGGGAGAACCACTGCTCTCTTCAAAGCTGTCAGACAGGGACATTTAAGTCTGCAGAGGTTACTGCTGTCTTTTTGTTTGTCTGTGCCCTGCCCCCAGAGGTGGAGCCTACAGAGGCAGGCAGGCCTCCTGGAGCTGTGGTGGGCTCCACCCAGTTTGAGCTTCCTGGCTGCTTTGTTTACCTAATCAAGCCTGGGCAATGGCGGGCGCCCCCCCCCCCCGGCCTGGCTGCCGCCTTGCAGTTTGATCTCAGACTGCTGTGCTGGCAATCAGCAAGACTCCGTGGACGTAGGACCCTCCGAGCCAGGTGCGGGTTATAATCTCGTGGTGCGCCATTTTTTAAGCCTGTCGGAAAAGCGCAGTATTCGGGTGGGAGTGACCCGATTCTCCAGGTGCGTCCTTCACCCCTTTCTTTGACTAGGAAAGGGAACTCCCTGACCCCTTGTGCTTCCCAAGTGAGGCAATGCCTCGCCCTGCTTTGGCTCGTGCACGGTGCGTGCACCCGCTGACCTGGGCCCACTCTCTGGCACTTCCTAGTGAGATGAACCCGGTACCTCAGATGGAAATGCAGAAATCACCCGTCTTCTGCGTCGCTCACGCTGGGAGCTGTAGACTGGAGCTGTTCCTATTCGGCCATCTTGGCTCCTCCCTCAGGTATCGAAAATTTAATTTTTATATAACTTACTACAGACTTCTAGATGCAGTTTTAGAGAATTTTTTCTGGGGGAGAAAATGGAGTTCTGAATCTTAAGAATACAATAGGGAAAATTATATTTTTGTCTTCCAGTTCTTTCAGTTATATAGTTCAGGTTCTGATTAACACCACATATAACACGTGTTCACTAATATGAGTAAACAGATTTATTTTAAATGGAAAATTGGTAGGTCCTCAATTGTTTTTTAATTGATCATCAGTTAAAGAAAGTGTGATATTTTCAAGGGATAAGGTAGTTTCAAGGGATAGTTGGCTCAGAAGAGGTCTACTGTTCGAGTTGTATGTCAATATGGTAGACTGGGTGTAATTGGTAACCCAATATTGATACATTAGTATTAACTAAAGCCCATTCTTTATCCAGATTTTCTTAGTTTTTCCTACTGTCCTTTTTTCTATTCCAGGATCCCATGCATGATACCATATTACCTTTAATTGTCAGGTATCCTTCGGCTCTTCTTTCCTGTGTCAGTTTTTGAGGCTTTCCTTGTTTTTGATTACCTTGATTGCTGTGAAGATAATTGGTCAGATGTTTTGTAGACTGGGATTATATGTTTTGGGGAGGAAGAACACAGCAGTAAAGTGACATTCTCATCTCATCATTCAATAGGTTTTTTGTTTGTTTGTTTTTAGAACACTTAAAAAGACTATAGTTTAGAGTGATTTTAGGATAACAGCAAAGTTGAGAGGAAGAGATACCATATGCCCCTGCCTGTTCCCACACATGCATAACCTCTCCCATTGTCAACATCCCCTATCAGAGTGGTACATTTGTTACAACTAATTAAACTACATTGACAGATTATTTTTACCCAATGTCCATAGTTTACATTTGGGTTCACTCTTGGTGTTGTATATTCTATGGGTTTTGACAAATGTGTAATGTCTTATATCCACAATTGTAGTATCACACAGAAGTTTTACTCCTCTAAAAATCATCTATGCCCTGCCTATTCATCTATAACCTCTCTGCTAAATCCTGAGAACCACTGACTTTTTTTTTTACCGTTTCCATAGTTATGCCCTTTCCAGAATATGATTTATTAGAATCATACAGTATTTAGGTTTTTCAGGTTGATTTCTTTCACTTAGTGAAGTGCATTTAAGTTTCCTCCATGTCTTTTCATGACTGGATAGCTCATGGCTTTTCAGTGCTGAATAATATTCCATTGTCTAGATGTATCACGTTTTATTTCTATATTCACCTACTAAAGGACACCTTGGTTGCTTTCAAGTTTTGGCAATTATGAATCAAATTGTTATAAACATCTATGTGCAAGCTTTTGTGTGGCTATGCGTTATCAGTTCCTATGAGTAAATACCAGGGACCACAACTGCTGGATCATATGGTAAGAATATTTT
Source organism: Homo sapiens (assembly GCF_000001405.40). NCBI lineage: Eukaryota > Metazoa > Chordata > Mammalia > Primates > Hominidae > Homo > Homo sapiens. The sequence goes on along the minus strand of NC_000007.14, from coordinate 85,248,432 downwards.
TAGTTTTGTAAGGAACCACCAAACTATATTCCAAAGTGATCATGCCAATTTCCATTCCCAGTATCAATAAATGAGTGTGACAGTTACTCCACATTCTCAACAGCATTTGGTGGTGTCACTGTTCTAAGTTTTGGGCATTCTGGTAGTGTGTAGTAGTATCTCATTGTTGTTTTAAAGTGAATTTCACTGATGACATCTGGCCTACAATGTCTTTTCACAAGCTTATTTGCTCTGTGTATATCTTCTTGGGGAGGTGTCTGTTCAGTTCTTGGCCCCTTTTTTTGTTATCAGATTGTTTTCTTTTTGTTGAATTTTAAGAGTTCTTCACATATTTCAGTCCTGTATCTCATATGTCTTTTGCAAATATTTTGTCCAGTCTGTGGCTTGTCTTTTCAAACTTTTCACATTTTTTCTTTCATGAATTATGCCTTTTGCATGGTATCTATGTCATTGCCATACTCAATGTCACCTAAATTTTCTCTTCAATTATCTTCTAAAAGTTTTATGGTTTGGTTTTACCTTTATGCCTATAATGCACTTTGAGGTAATTTGCATGGTAAGGTCTGTGTCTAGATTCATTTTCTTGTTTCCAGATATCCAGCTGTTCTTGCATAATTTGTTGGAAAAATATATCTTTTCTCCATTGTGTTTCCCCTGTTTATTTGTCAAAGACCAGTTGACTATATCTGTGGGTTTATTTCTTGGCTCCCTATTCAGTTCTGTAAATCTACCTGTCTATTCTTTAGCCAATGTTACGTTGCCTTGATTACTACAGTTTTATAAGAAGTCTGGAAGTCAGGTAGTATCACTCCTTCTACTTTGTTTTTCCTATTCAATGTTGATTTAGTTACTCTGGCTCTTATGCCTCTCCATGTAAACTTGAAATCATTTGTAGGTATTCACAAAATAACTTCTTTTTTAAATGATTTTTTGAGATGCATATATACTTAACTGTTAATATATTCAAGGATTTTTAGTTTGTGCACATGATGTCTTAGTTAAGAAATCTTCCTCACTCTAAGACCACAAAATGACCTCTTATTGTTCTTCTACAGCACTTAAAGTTTTGCTCTTCACATGTAAGTTTGAATTACCCTGAAATTTATTTTTTATATAATGAGACAGCAATCTATTTTTTCCACTTTTCTTAATTTTCAAATGTTTCTGTGTGTGGATTTACTTCTGGGGAAAAGCTTAGGTGAATGTGAGACTTACCTTGTGTGCATCTCTTCTGTCAGTGATTATTCTCTGTGTTATTTCTTGCCATTTAAAGATTAATCAATATAGGCAGGATGTAACTTAAGAAACAGAAAATTTTTAGTAAGTTTGAATTTCTCTATGAGCTCCTTCCTGGTCTCATGCTCCTTACATTTATTCCCAGAGGCCACCACTGTATTGATATATATTTGACTTTTAAGTAAATGAAATTATTTTACCAAATTTTTCAGCGACTTACGTATACTTTCAGCATTATTTTTTTTTTAGCTTTTTATATTTTGTTGCAGGTAGTTGTAGTTTTTTTCACTGTTATATTGTATCAAATTTTATTTATACATTTTGTGTGGCAAGAAAATTAAGATGCTACTATACGGAGGCTCATCTCAACAAGCTTATGAGCATCCTTATACATGTCTCCTGGGTCCTGAATAAAAGAATTTCTTTAGGTTACCTACCAAAGAGTGGAATTCCAGGTCATAGGGAATTATTATCTTCAAATTTACTAGATATTATCAGGTTTTTTTCAGTGCTGGTAACAATACACCCTATATTCCCATTATTACATATCATCACCCAAACTTGGTATTTTCACACATCTAATTTACACAAACTAGTAGAAATGTATCTACTATGATTTATCTCCTTGAGGTTTTAATTTTTATTTCTCTAATATTGACAATTAAGCGTTTCACATATATCTGTGTCATTCATTTTTCACCAATTAGTTCACTCATTAAAATGGCACATTTACATTTGCAGTTGAAGGAAATGATTCACAGCTCCACAGAAAAAAAAATCTGAAGGAAGATGAAGTTATTGAGGGCCTCTTACAACTTTTGGAAAGTTATGAGAAAGTTTTCTATAGCTTTTTGTATGAAGTACTTCCAAATACACTTCTGTTGTCATTTGTGAAAATTACAACTCATCTGAATGAATAACTCAGTCTGCCTTAAATAATCTTATCTTTGCTGTGCTTAAAGATATACTATTGGAGAAGCTTTCCCCAAACTGAAAGCACAAATTGTAAACATAAAGAAGGCTCTTACATAAAGTTTTAATGACTGAAATTAAAATGGCATAGCCTAAATGAATATATTTGCATAATGAATAAATACATGTCGACATTAAATCATGCACATTGTCATGGAGACAAATAATAAATATATTCATTAACATCTACTCAAATTTTGTGGTTTTTATCCATATGTTCTACATCTTAGATTTTTTATTTGTTTGTTTTGCCATTTCTATTATGTTACCAAATTATTTTCCAGCAGATTTACTTGTTTATCTTTTATTCTTCCAATCTCACCTAGTTGCTTAAACTATGATATAGCCAAAGGCAAGATAATAAGTCTAGAAAGTAATACATGTTTTGTTACTATGTGAGAAATACCTTAATTGTAACTCTAATAGAGAAATCTTACTAAGAGAAGATATAATGAGAAATAATCTGTAGCTTTTAAACTAGCGTTTTTGTTGTACCCATTTAATCTTATGAAAGAAAAAAAATGCTATGTGAAAGATTGATAATTACTCACATATTTAATCGGCTTATCTTTGTTAGTTCTAGTTCATTTAAGCTTAACTGCATCCTAAGTAAGATAAATGTTGAAGTTTCATGTGTATACTGAGGATGGGAAACCAAAGGGTATAAAAATTTCAACTTGATTTAATGTGAAGTAAATACAAAGGAGTAAAGATATGTTACTGAGGAAAGTTTTTTGAGAAAGTCGAACATTATAGCTGAGTAAAGCTTTTAGAATATTTGTTTTCATAGTGCTAGTTCTTAAAAACAGGCATATAGTTGTCTGAATACTGTGCTATGCTTAAATTTCCACCAGTCTTTATTCAGGCACAATTCTGTAAAGAATTTTTCTTATTTTGTACTTCACAATCTATGTACTGAATCTCTATTCTCAGCCTCTGCAGGTTCTCTTGTTCTTAAATCATTCCCGTTCTATATTGTCCAATGATCTTCTTTTTAACTTCACATCCTTCCGTTTCCCAACCTTACGATTTTGAATTTTAATGCTTTTGTTTCGAGGTTTTGTATTTTTTGAAAGTTCACACATTAGATTCAGGATCTTAATGTGCCATACATATACCATTAACATACTCTATAAATTATAAATTGCTGCTACATCCCTCAAAAAGAAAGGACTTGTCACTTCATGTTTCACTTCAGTAACAAAATAGATTCTGGCCGGGCGCAGTGGCTCACGCCTGTAAATCCCAACACTTTGGGAGGCCAAGGTGGGCAGATCACAAGGTCAGGAGATCAAGAACATCCTGGCCAACGTGGTGAATCCCAGTCTCCACTAAAATACAAAAAAATTAGCCGGGAGTGGTGGTGGGTGCCTATAGTCCCAGCTACTCAGGAGGCTGAAGCAAGAGAATCACTTGAACCCAGGACTCAGAAGTTGCAGTGAGCCAAGATCGCACCACTGCACTCCAGCCTGACAACAGAGTGAGACAAAGTCTCAAAAAAAAAAAAAAAAAAAAAGATTGTGCAGTACATCCGGGATTTTGCCTGGAAGAAGAATAATTTAGATTTTAACACTACATAAAAATATTACCCCTCTAACTCCTGTCATTATTTTTTGCTTCCTACTTTAGACTGACACATACCTCCTGGACTATCGCAACCTAGAGATTTGCAGTTTATTTTATATTCAATGATATGTGGCTTGCACCATTGCAAATAATGTTTTATAAGGATAAGTATATAAACAAAATAATCACAAAGAATGGAGAAAATATATGCAGCAGTTTGATTATGCCCCTCTGAAAATCATATTAAGATTTGACTCCCAATATGGCAGTGTTGGTGGAAGTGGGGATTACTAGTGGGAGATGTTTAGATGATGAGGGTACCACCCTCATGAATAGATTAATGCCACTTCTCAGGAGTGAGCGAGTCCTCACTTTTGTGGAAAGGGATTAGTTTTTCTGAGAGCAAGTTGTTATAGGTGAGTGCAGCTTCTAGTGCATCTCTCTTTGCTCATGTCCACTTATCTTTCTTCTTCTCTGCTGTTATGAAGCAGCACCAGCTCCTCATCAGAAGCTAAGCAGATGCCAGTTCCATGCCCTTAGACTTATCATCCATGAGAATCTTCAGCCAAATATGCCTCTTTTCTTTATAAGTTACCTAGCCTTGGGTATTCTCTTATAACAATACTAAATGGACTAAGACAACATACATTGAGTATATCAGATACTTAAACAAGATATATACTGTAACTTGATCACATCCCCATAACATACCTAGTAATTAATTTCTTGAATGCAGTAAACAACACTAGTGTTGCTGAATATTCTTATTGTCAATATGAGATAGTATGGACGTGATTTATAAAATAAATTCTGAAATTGCAACATCTTCAATAGGAAAATGTTAAAATAAATTCAGAATAAAGCTATTCTTATACTTTCCAATATAATGAGTTCCTGAAAAGAACTGCAAGTCAAATATTAAAAACATTCCGTAGACTTCACATTTCACGTGGAAGATTCCATTTTTTTTGTAGTTAAAAAATAAAGTACAGATTTCTGGGTTCTGGTCCAGCAGATAAGGGGCTTAGAATTTGCTATTCCATCTTAACAACAAGTAAAAAGCTGAACAAACTAAAAAATCAGCAAGTCTTTTTAAATTTGTCAGAGAAATGAAGTCATAGGGCAAACTTTGCACCAAAAATTTGAGACAGACAGGCAAATACAAGAATCACAATTTACAGAGCAGAAACCCACAAACGGACACCTCTAGACGAACCAGTCTTGGGGTAGAAAAACCAGTACCGGAATCGACAAGTTGCTGGAGAATTAGTGTGAACAAATATGTGAGAGAAAAACTCCACTCATGGGGAGCCCTACACTTTTGTGAACTTTACCTCCAGGAGCTCTTACAGGACCTCACAGAGAATAACAGAGAAAAAAAAGTTTTGTGGTTCCAGCAAAGGGAAGGAAAAGCAAACCATTTTGAAATATGCCATTACATCCTGTCCCCATAAACAAGGCTTGCCTTCAGGATAAATTATTTTACTAGAACTTAACCTGCTGAGGTTCCATCAGAGACTTACTTAGGAGAAAGGAAATACCCAACAGAAGCCCACTCTATCTGTCTCACCTCACTTGGTGGTGTGGGGGACTGAAGCAGAACTGGTTGGTGATAACAGTCCAGAGTCACAGGCTCAACAAAGCCTCAGACCTATCCGTAAAACTATATAATATTTTCTCTCCCCGCAAACCTTACTATGACATTACTAAAGCCTTATACCACAGTTCCTTTTCTCTACTACATCATGTCTATGTTTGATGACAAAATTACAAGCCTTACTAAAGGTAAAAAATCAGGTTTTGTTTCATTTTTTTAATTTCAGATAGAAAAGCATACTTCAGAGAAAGAAAAATGTCATGGATAAAGACAGTACTACATAATGATAATTTGGTTAATAATCAAAGAAGAGTTAATTCTTAATGTTTATACACCCAAAAACAGAGCTTCATCAAAATATTTGAGGCAAAAACTGGTATAGCCATAAGGAGAAGTAGATAAATCCAATATTATTGTTGGAGACAATGACACCCCTGTATCTGAAATAGACAGAACCAGCAAGCAGTAAATCAGTAGGAACAGAGTTTAAGTCAACAGTACCACTAAACAACAATGTTTGCTCTAAGGCCACAATGAAATTAAACTAGAGACAAATAACAGAAAGATAGCCAGAAAAATCTCAAAATGCTTGGAGATTAAATGACATACCTTTCTATAGCACACAGAGCATATAGGTCAATAAAAAATATCTCAGAGACATTTAAAAAATGTATAGAAGTAAGTTGAAATGAAAATACAACTTATCAAAATTTGTGAAATGCAGTAAAAGCAGTGATGAGAGTACAATTTATAGCACTGAATAATTATATTAGAAAAAAATGTAAAATTATTAATCTAAGTGTCCACCCAGGAAGCTACAAAAAGAAAAGCAAATTAAATTCAATGTAAGCCGAAGAAGATAAATAATAAAAGTTAGAAATGTATGAAAATGAAAACAAGGAATCAATACAGAAAATCAACAAAACCAAAGGCTGATTCTTTGAGAAGGTCCATAAGATGGATTACTTGCTTGTCAGATTAACAAAGCAGAAAACAAAGGTGACACAAATTTCTTTTTTTTTTATGGTAGCTCTATTTTTAGTTTTTGAGGAACCTCCAAACTGTTCTCCATAGTGGTTGTATGAATTTACATTCCCACCAACACTGTACAGCGGTTCCCTTTTCTCCACATCCTGGCAGGCATTTGTTATTGCCTTACTTTTGGATAAAATCCACTTTAAATGAGGAAAGATGATATCTTATTGTAGTTTATTTATTTATTTACTTATTTATTTTTATTTCCATAGGTTTTTGGAAAACAGTGGTATTTGGTTACCTGAGTAAGTTATTTGGTGGTGATTTTGTGAGATTTTGGTGCACCCATCACCTGAACATTATATACTGAACCCAATTTTTAGTTTTTTATCCCTCACACCCTTCCTACCCTTTCCCCACTGAGTCCCCAAAGTCCATCGTATCATCCTCATAGCTTAGCTCCCACTTATGAGTGAGAACATAAAGATGTTTGATTCTCCATTCCTGAGTTTCTTCACTTAAAACAAGCCTCCAATCCCATCCAGGTTGCTGCAAATGCCATTAATTCATTTCTTTTATTGCTGAGTAGTATTCATATATATATATATATATATATATACACACACACAGTTTCTTTATTCACTCATTGATTGATGGGCATTTGGGTTGGTTCCATATTTTTGCAATTGTGAACTGTGCTACTATAAACAAGCTTGTGCAAGTATCTTTTTTGTATAATAACTTCTTTTCCTCTGGGTAGATACCCACTATCTGGATCAAATGGTATGCTGGATCAAATGGTAGTTCTACTTTTAGTTCTTCAAGGAAACTATACTGTTTTCCATAGTGGTTGTACTAGTTTACATTCCCACTAGCCGTATAGATGTGTTCCCTTTTCACTGCATCCATGTCAACATCAGTTATTTTTTGATTTTTTTATTATGGCCATTCTTGCAGGAGTAAGGTGGTATTTCGTTGTGGTTTTGATTTGCATTTCCCTGATAATTAGTGATGTTGAGCATTTTTTCATATGTCTGTTGGCCATTTGTATATCTTCTTTTGAGAATCATCTATTCATATTCTTAGCACACTATTTGATGGGATTGTTTGTTTTTTTCTTGATAATTTTGTGAGTTCCTTGTAGATTCTAGATATTAGTCCTTTGTCAGATGAATAGATTGTGAAGATTTTCTCCTACTCTGTGGGTTGGAAAGATGACACAAATTTCTAATAAGAGAAATGACAGAAAGACAGCATTAAAATCCCACAGGCATTTAAGTGATAATAAAGGGATGCTATGAGCAAAATTATGCACACATATTTGATAGACTGGGTGAAATGAATCAATTCCTTGAAAGACATAATTATCTGCCAAAGTTCACATAAGAAGATATAGATATTAATTGGTCTATATCTTTTAAAACATTTAATCAATAATTAACAACTTTTAAAGAGAGGAAACACCAGGCCCAGATATGTTCACTAGTGAATTCTACCAAATATTTAGGGAAGAAATTATGCCAATTCTTTGCAGTCTAATCTACAAAGTATAAGCAGAGGGGAATACTTCCAAACTCATTGTATGAGGTAACCATCGCTCTACTATTAAAACCAGAAGAAGAAATTATTAAACTACAGACAAATGTCTATCATGACATGGTTGCAAAAATCATCAACAAAATATTAGCAAATCAAATCCAATAATACATACAAAAAATAATACATCACATACAAATGAGATTTATCTCAGCCATGCAAGGCTGGTTCAACATTGGAAAATCAAGTAATGTAATCCATCATATCAACAATCTAAAAAGAAAAAAAATCGTATGATCATATCAATCAATGCAGAAAATGCACTTGACAAAAATCTAACACTCACCCTCAGCAAACTAAGAATAGAAGGGGACTTTCACATCTTGAATAAGATCATCTACAAAAAGCCTATAGTGAACATCATACTTAATAAGAAACTTAAAGCATTTTTCCTAAGATCAAGAAAAAGACAAGGATGTCCCCTCCCACCAGAGCTTTTCAACATTTTGTTGGAAGTCTTAGCTAATCAAATAGGATAAGAAAAACAAATGAATGTTAGACCTAACAGGAAAAAAGAAATAAAACTATCTTTGTAGAAAACATGATTATGTAGAAAATTAAAAAGAATCCAGAAAATAACTTCTGGAAAATAAATAGTTACAGGTTGGTTACAGAATACGAAGTTAATATACAAAAGACAATCGCTTTCCTTTATAACAGTAATGAGAAAGTGGAATTTGAAATTAAAGATACAACACCAGAGTGCACAATGTGAGTTAAAAGAAGCAAAAAGTGAAACAGGTAGTAGCTATCGACTACAACTGGCTCAAACCATTCAGTGAACTTGTGAAAAAACTTCAGTCCAACTGAATGTTAACGTTTGTGAGTACAGTTCCAGCATAATTTTCCTTAGTTTATTATGAAGCATATATTGAGAGTTCAGAAGTGGTCAGCATCACCTAGGAGCTCATAGAAATGTCGACTCTCAGGTGTCTCTGCAGACTTTCTGTGTCAGTTAATTTGTGCTGCTATGACACTGTGCCACAGATTGGATAATTTACAAACAACAGAAATGAATTTCTCATCATTTTGGAAGCTGGGAGGTCCAAAAGCAAAGCACCAGCAGGTCTAGCATCAGTTAAAGGCTACTGTCTGCTTCGAGACGATGCCCCACTGTTTCCTCACGTGGCAGTGGAAGAGGAACAAAAACAGGCCTAAGCTAGTTCCTTAGCTTTTAGAAGGCACTAATCCATTTACAAGGGTGGAGACATTACAACTTAATCACTTCCCAAAAGGCCTCACTCTTAATACTACCACAATGGAGATTAAGTTTCAACATGAATTTGGGAGGGGATACATTTAAACCGTAACACATACTAAATTTGAATCTGCATTTAGCAAGATCCCCAGGTGATTCCTAACACACTTTAACATTTGAGAAGCACTGAAATAGAAATAATACAATTGATAAACCTTAATAAGGTGTGTATATTTTACCTGATGGCAACGAGAATGCAATAAATAATTTTAAGTACATTTATAAAAATAATAAATACAATTTAGAAAATTTAAAGTTTTTTAAAATGCAGTACTATTTACATTAGTACTGCCCAAATAAAATACTGAGGTATAAATCTAAAAAACTATGTACAAGATCTATAAAAGAAAAACTACAAAACTCTGATGAAACAAAAGAAGGACAAAATAAATGAAGAGAAATTCTATATTCATGTGCAGGAAGACTCAATATTGTCAGGTTTCCAATTCTTCCCAACGTGATCTACAGATTAAATGCAATCCCAAACAATAGCTCAGAAAGTTAGTTTGTGGATATTGACAACCTAAATCTAAAGTCTGTATGGAAAATCCAACCCCAAATGGCCAAATTAACATTGAATGAGGAAAGCAAAGTAGGAGTATTGACACTACTTGACTTCCAGAACTACTAGAAGGCTCCAGTAATAGTGACAGTGTTGTATTGGAGGAAGAAGAGACAGATTGGTAGAATAGAATAGATAGCCCAGAAATTGACACAATAATTGTAGCCCATTGATTTTTGACGAAAGAGCAAAGGCAATCCAGGAATAAAGACATTTGCAACAAATGATGATGGAACAACTGGACATCCACATGCAATAAAATGAATTTACCTGCAGATTTTACACCCTTCATAAGAACTAATTTTAAGTGGATCATAGATCTATATGTAAAATGAAAACTATAAAACCTCTAGAAAATAAAATGGGAAAAAATATAGGTGACATTGGGTATGGCAATAACTTTTTAGATATGACACTAAAGGTACAATGCATAAAAGAAAGAAGTGATAAGCTGTACTTTACCATAGACTGAAAGAAAATATTTGCATAAGGTACATCTGATAAAGGAAGTTATCTAAAGTACACAAAGAACTCTTAAAATTCAACAATAAGAAAACAAACCAATGGATAAAAGAAACGTGCAAAATACCTGAACAGATACATCATCAAAAAATGTACAGATGGCAAGCATTTGAAAAGATGTTCAACATTGTATGCAATTAGGAATTTCAAATTAAAACAGTACTGGTATCCCACTACACATATTTTAGAATGGCCAAAATCCAAAACACTGACAACACCAAATGGTGGTGAGGATGTGGAACAACAGAAACTCTCATTCATTGGGGATGAGAATGAAAGATGGTGCAGCTCCCTTGGAATTGTGGTTTCTTACAAAATAAATATAAGATCCAGTCATTGCATTCTTTAGCGTTTACCCAAATGAACTGAAAACTTACGCTCACACAAAAGCTATTACATGGATGTTTATTATTGGAGCGTTATCCTCAATTGTCAAAAGTTGGATGCAACCAAGAAGGCCTTCAATAGGATGAATAGATAAAAAATTGGGGTACATCAGGCAATAGAATATTTTTCAGCAATGAAAAGAAATTAGCTATCAAGCCATGAAGAGACAAGAAGGAAATTTAAATGCCTTTTACTAAATGAAATAAACCATCTTAAAAGTCTACATACGGCATGATTTCAACTATATGACATTCTGGAAAAAGCAAAATTATGATGACAATATTAGTGGTTGCCACAGGTTAGCAGACAGGAAGGTATGAGTATGCAGATCACAGAAAATTTGTAAGGCAGAGAAACTGTTCTGTATGATACTACAGCAGTGGATAGGAGTCATTATAACATTGATCTAAATCCATAGAATGTACGCCACCTCAAGTAAATCCTAATGTAAACTATGGGCTTTGACAACAATTTGTAGATGTACTTCCATTGATTGTAACAAATTTATCACTATGGTTTGGGATGTTGATAGTGAGGAAGGTTGTGGTGTTTAGAAACAGAGGTATATGGGAATTCTAACTGTATGTTCTGCTGAACACTGCTGTGAACCTAAAACTGCTCTAAAAAAGTTTATTAATTTAAAAAAGAATTATTCAATCCCTTAATTATGAGTGCATGAATACTGTTGAAATCTGAATAATTCCAATGAATTTCACCAATGTCAATTTCTTGGTTTGATTTTTTAGTATATTATTACAAAAAGTTATTGAAGAAACTGGGTAAAAAAATACAACAAATCTCTGTACTATTTCAAATGCATGTTAATACACAATTACATAAAAATTAAAATTTATTAACACTGCCTCCTCCTTTACACATTTTTTAAAATTCTTTAGCTCTAGCATCCTGTGCCTGTTCTTTAGCTTATGTACTTTACTCAAAATTGATACATTATCTGGCTTAATTCAAATTAGAATGCAATTGATAGTTAAAGGTTCACTATTTAAAACACCAAATATTTGTTTCATTATTTCTGCTTTATCTTATCATATTAAGTTTATGAGATGATTTTTAAAACTAGTGGCATTATTTTTATTTTTCTGTATACCAATAATTTTATAAAAATTCAAAACAAAGCATTAAAAATTAAAATATTGTCTGGGTGCGGTGGCTCATGCCTGTAATCCCAGCACTTTGGGAGGCCAAGGTGGGCAGATCATGAAATCAAGAGATCAAGACCATCCTGGCCAACATGGTGAAACCCCATCTCTACTAAAAATACAAAAATTAGCTGGGCATGGTGGCTCGTGCCTGTAGTCCCAGCTACTCAGAAGGCTGAGACAGGAGCATTGCTTGAAATGGGAAGTTGGAGGTTGCAGTGAGCCGAGATCATGCCACTGCACTCCAGCCTGGGCAACAGAGCAAGACCCCATCTCTAAATAAATAAATAAATAAATAAATAAATAAATAAATAAATAAAATAAAATAAAATAAAATACTAAATCATCTAGCCAACAAATGCAAGTGTTTTAATAAATATAATGACCTACAAAAAGGAGTTCTTGGGTTGCAGGTAGTGTCACTAGGAAACAGCTTGAAATGGTCATAATTCTGCTCATGGTAGCTCATTTGGTATCTGAAAGCCAGTTAGAGGGGTCAATGTGTAATTGCCTTATACCTAACTACTGGGATGTCTGAAGTTACATATGAAAATTGGGGATAAATAAAGTAGAATGGCATAAGGTCTCAAAGGGGGCCTTACAAAATTTTAGTTGTACAGAAGTAACTCATATACTAAGAAATTTTTAATAAAGAGAAATTGTTATTTTTAAGCTTAGAGATTGAAGAAATTAGGATGTTTCTGTAAATAAAATGCCAGCCACCTCTCCTATTCCCTTCAACTCCAACCTGCCATGCTCCTAAGACTGGCTTCACTCAGACCTGCGGTGGTATTCCCTTCCTACTTATGGAGAAAACAGATATTTGGCATGAAATTGTACCTACATAGTCACCATTTTCACCTTCTGACACACACATTATTCTAGGATAATTCCTTCACTTATGCTTAAAAATCATGACTTCTATTTCTTCTAAAATATTTTTATGAATATAAATTGCTTTATCTTTCACCCATATTATACATTTTACCATTTCAATTAGCTCCAAATCCTTAGCTGGGTTCTGTTCAGATATCAAGAATAAAGAAAAATTATTCCCTTGAACAGAGATCCTCCTTTAAACATTACCTTCCTTTTCCCTCTGAGAAATAATAATTCAGTTGATAAGACTTAGTTATATGGTGAAATCAGCAAACTAATGATCTTTTTTGTAATGTCCACTAATCAGTGTTCTAGATCTTTTTCTGAAAAATTAGATTTTTAAATTACTGATGAATAAGACAAGAGCACCCAATATTTGCCTTATAAATACCCCCGACAACATACTTGGTAAGACACTCAAATTCTGTTAGACAAGAATTGTTTTTACACATTCAGAACATACCACTATAAGAAAATTTGGAAGAGAAATAATGTGTATATAAGTATATATATGTTTTCTAATAGTAGCAGAGTTGTGATAATCCCAGACAGAAAATTTTTCTAGAAAGGGAAAATAATACCATACACCAACACTATTATTCTCTTCCTTACTATGCCCAGAGGTGCTACTGAGCAGTGCTAGGACAGTTATATATGGCTTCTCTGTCTGAAGATCTTGTTGGGGTTAATGACATACACACCTGTGTCAGCTCCAGTGCAAACTGCTCACTCCCCAAGCTGCTGAGAAATTCCTTAAGAATCAGTGTTTATCTGAAAGCCCGAGGGCCGCTAGCCAGCCCTGGTTGAGAAAGCCTGTGCTTAGACATATCTGACAGAAATCTGGGCAGCGATGCAAAGGGACTCTTCCTCCTTTTCCTTATTTTTCAGTTTGTTTTGCCAAGCTATAAATCCTAAATGGAATAATTAAAGTGAATAATACTATTTGCTTCATTATTTCTTGCAAACTGTCAAGATCATTTTAGTTCCTTTAACACACCTGTTATTTTCTTTTATCATTATTCTTTGGAAAACTAATTTTACACTGGATATCTTTTTCTCTCTATGCAAGATTGAGAGTAAAAAGTTTTCACTTTATAATCCTTTCATAAATTTTTCTGAGCTTTTATTGAGCTTTTCTGAGCTTAAAAGCTCTGTAGGTGCAGCCCTCAAGCAACTGCTAGTGGAGATGGCTCAGATGTTTGCTGGTGAGCAACTCCAGTACAGTGGTCATTTGCAATAGGACCACTGATCTCTCAATCTCTCATTTCTCTCTCAATGGCTCTGCTTCACAGCTGCCTTCAGTCTGGCCCGAGGAAAAAATATTCTAGTGGACAGTATGATAGGAAACTACTTTAGTTTCTCTCAGGAAGTTTAGTGTCTTTTATCTCTTCCAGCACTTTACTGAAGGTGCATCCAGTTCTGATCTCTTTCTCGCAGTCTTCAAGTATTGCCCAGGGACACTACAAAGATAACAGATAAAAATTAGTTATTAAGCCCTTCATCTTGGCAGGTGGCCTTTCTGGGGGTCTCAGGGAGCACACCCACTCTGCTTCCAAAACCCTGAAAAGCTTCAGTGGAAGCTGTTTTGTTTTTATGCTGGAAACAATAAAGAGAAACATTGTAGACTGCATTCCTCTTTACCACCAAAAACTTCAGTTTGTAACCTTAAAA